>NC_000001.11:230578060-230729576 GCF_000001405.40 Homo sapiens | reverse complement strand
GGGCCACTGTCTCTCCCTTGATGTTTGCCTTTCAAGGAGATGGCTCCCGGGTCCTTGAGAAACACATGCCTGGGTAATCAAGCTGACAAAAGTCCTCTCTGATCTTCACAAAAATGTTATATACATTTGAAAGAGAGGAGAAAGTGCTTATAATTACAAGTTTTCTAAGGTAAATGCTCTGAGAATAAGAGAGGGAGGGAAACCTCTTCCCCCATTTTCAACCGGGAGAATTAAGCCTCTTGTTTTTAAGTTGCATTTGTCCTTACAGTGGCTACTAGGTGTTGGGAACACTGCCCGGGAGCTAGGAAGAGCAATTAGGGCTGGAGGCTGTTTGGCGCCAACAGGCTGTTGCTGAGTGCGGATGAAAGTCCAGAGAGAGAGTGGAAGGTGGGGGTCAAAGGGCATGGTGGTGCCCTGCATGGCAGATGGTGGAGAAACTGCACCAGGCAGGTGCCTCAGGCTTTCTGGGTCAGGGGAGAGGGTCAGGTGGCCTTTGAAGTTCTGTTTGCTGTTAGCCTGACTGAGTTAACTGCATGGGTACCTGACTGTCTTTGCTCAGTCTCCTAGTGGACAACCACATTTCCGGAAGGCTTTTCACGAGTGATATAGCAACTAATGCTCTCCCAGGGCTCACTGCCTGGCAGGCTCTGCTCCAAATGCTTTCATATGTTAACTAATTCAATCCTCACTATGAGGATTCTCTACTCCCATGAGACAGGGATTGCAGGGAGTATAAGGTTGTGTTGGATGTGTTTCCTGGCATTAGTAAAAGAGGATGTGAGGCAAGAGCAAAACTAATGCATGTGCTGAAAGAGCTATGGTGCAAAGAGTACACACAAACCTTTTCTCCCCTTCTCTGTATGCTGCTGTGGACACTGTTACAAAGCATGAAAATGAGGCCGTAGATGCAAAAGCTTAAAAGGGTGACCCATACCTCAAAAGTTCTCAGTAAGTGGCAGCATTTTATTATCGTGGCTATCATTTTGCCAGTTATATCTTAACAGGTATAAATATTGAAACCTCCTTAGCGAAAATTATAACGGTGAGCAAATTATGACAGCGGAGGAGATCTGACCTAACCATCTCCTTCTTGCCTTTTAACCTCTAAACTGTCCTGGGTCATTTTGGGGCATGGGTCAAGCTAACTTTAGGAGAAATTTAGTTTATAGTTTAAATGATGATAGACCTTCCCAAAACTAAGTCATCTTTGTAAAACTAATGAAAGGCCACCAGGTCAAAAGAATGAGAGGGGCCTGAATTCTGCTGAGATGTAGACATAGTTAAGCAATCACCAGCCGTTATTCTGGAGGTCATGAAATTTGCAACTTTCTCAATTACTCCTATAATTAACATCACTACTCTAGACCCTAAAATTGGCCTTTTCAGATTCCTTTTCAGACTTTTGTATTTCTGAAACCAGGTGACTTTACCTGGACCCACGACCCCTACCTGTGGTCCCTGACCTAGAAGCAGGCTCAGCATATGAGGACCATTTTTTCCACACCCCTATGATTGCATCTCCAACCAATCAGCAGCATCTGTTCTCTAGCCACCTGCCTACCAAACTATCTTTTAAAAACCCCTGCCTTCATATTTTTGAGGAGGCTGATCTGAGTAATAATAAAACTCTGGTGTCCTGTTCAGGTGGCTCTATGTGTATAAAACTCTTTCTCTATTGCAACTCCCCTGTCTTGATAAATCAGCTCTATCTGGGCAGTGGGGAAGATGAGCTAATTGGGTGGTTACAATATTACCTCTTCAATGTGACTGAGGTTCTTGAAGGCAGGAAATTGTCATATAATTTATGTCTCCCATGTCAGTACCTTATATAGGGTAGGTATCAATAATTACTCATAAAAGATGAGAATTATTGGTTCCCTAGAAGTCATTTTCCCATTCTAGGCATGGTGCCTTTTAGGGGACATAACTCTGACTGAACTTTATATGTCCTCCTTAGTTAGTTACTTAGGGTCTTGATTTCTTCTGGAGGCTGTATTTGTCATTTAAATTTTGCTAGATATTATGCATATTACTTAAGTTTTCACACTTAATGGCATAAATCTGTCCCTAGTATTCCCTCTCAATTTTCTAATCTCCTCTGTAACTGCAGTCTATTTATATGTCCTCAGTAAATATTTGTTGAGTCTGATAGTTTTTGGTTATGATCATGGACTAGTGCAGTGAGGGCAGTTGGATATTTTCCTCCTGGGAGGACATCTGGGATTCACAATCTGGATGTTTGGTATCATGAGACAATCTCCCTGCCCTGGCTTGGGGGGCCACCCATGGGTTAAGGCATAAGTAACAATTCCTGACAAGAGTGGGGTCATTAATGTCTGGAGCAGGAAGCTGAGGGGAGTTGTGTTTTTCTCTTGCCTCAACATTGTAGGAGGAGAGAGAATCCTTTCTAGGCATCAGGGTCATCCCTGAGCACTCCTGGTGTGATTTTAGGGTTCTCCAAGGCCCACTGTGGTTCTAATTTCCTGCCACCATCCCTGAACATCCCACCATTCATATCCTCAGTGTAGAAAACAGAGATGGTAACTTTGACTCCAGAAGGTCACCATTCACATGACCACTTAGGAGAAAAGGAGAAGGGAGAACTTCCAGTATTTTATCCAAATTCTTTATTCGTCACTCAGCTAGCCCAGACGTCTTCTTAGGAAGCATTGGAAGATATGAGAGAGTGGTGTGGGGTGGGAAGCAAATGGTTGGGGAGACATAGCATCTGGCTTTTTTGGGAAGCCCTGCTGGGTTTAGACAAATCTGCAGACAGGAGGAAGAATGAGATGAATGGCACTTAAGTGTTATTCCTCTCCAGATCATGATTCTCCCAGTTTGAATTAAGACTCTTCTCTGAGTTTTGGAGGAGAGATGCTTGGAAAGGATGATTGAAGAGATTCATTCACCCATTAGACTCCCTACTATTGATTAAGGATGTAATGAAGTGATATAAGTCATCCAATAAGCTATGCTTACTATGTTTTTTTTTAAACATAGTAAATGCAAGCCAAATAGAGCCCTCTCCCACCTTAGCCAGTAGAGTGACATCTTAGGATCTTAGGTGAAGTCTTTTTTTTTTGGTTCTTTTAGTTTTTAAATTTGGAGGATTAGGATGACAAAAATGACACCTATGGGTGAAGGGGTATGGAAGGACTGGAATGACATTCAGACTTTTTTTTCAGTAGGTTTGCTGGTTTAAAAACTGTATCTGAGGACAAAATGCTTGGATTCAAATCTTGGCTCCCTAACTAACTGAGATCTGTCTTCTCTGTTCTTTGTCATCTTCATCAATAAAATGGGGGAAAATAACACTGTCTATGTCTTAGGGAGAATAAGATGGAACATTGCATATAAAGTGTCTAACACAAGTCCTGGCACATAGTCATCAATAACTTGTTTATTATTGTGCTTGTTAAATTCCATTCACCTGGAAGATCCAGGGATCCATTCAAAGTTGGCTCTGGCTGCCGTGATGCCAAGTGAAGTCATTCCAATTTTGCAGTCTAAATAGCACACACTGCCTTGTCCCTAAGAGAAATACCAGCCCCAGACATTGTGAATTGATCATTTCCACTGAACCATTTATAAGGCAGAGTTGATCCTTATCATTAAGGTGAGCAAAGCAGTTGTTGTGGGCACTTCTCTTCATGATGATGTTCAGTCATTTAGGTCTCTGTGGAATGGCTGGCAGGAGGCCCTAATGGTGACAGAAATCCCAGTGACTACTGTCCTACTGGCTCTGGTTGGGAGCCTTTCCTAGCAGTCCTACCATGACTGGCCTCTTGGATCCACTCTGAATTCTTCTACTTCTCTTTGCAGTAGAAAGGCATTAACTGATATTTCTCTTTCCAAATTTCTTTGCAATGTTTTCTGTAGAAGAACTGAACATTAAATAAATATTATTTCTAGAACTCAGTTTTCGCAAAAGATAGCATTTCAGTCCCACAAGAGCAATATTTATATCATTGCAACTATGGGGCTTCGGTGGGAAAAGGATGACAATATTTTTCCATTTGGATAGCTGTTTCTTATCTAAACTTATTAAATGGTGAGCAGAACTCTTCATTGTAGACTTTTCCCAACCCTGAGTGCCAAAGCAAACACACAAAGTTCGGACCACTGACATGTTGCTGCAGTAGTATAAGGGCAAATAAGTCTGAATGGAGATAACAGACTTGGAAACGGTACTTTGTGTCTCTACTTTCATGGTCCTTCCCTCTACTGACATGGAAATAGCACCCTAGGCCTGCCCGGGGCCATCCCTGAACTAGGGATGCATCCCCCGTCAAAACAAACTGAGGACATTGGATAATTCACATTTTACATAACAGTATTTTACTCAGATTTATGTGGCTGCTGATGAATTTTCATCAAAAAAGTATTTTCTGGAATAAAATCCATTAAACCAATTTAATCCCTTAATCAATTTTTATGTAGTGTAGTTAAATCATTTTTATTTTTCTAAAAGTTAATGAAACATTTTCTATTTTTATTTCTGAAAAGTAATTTTCATCAGGATAGATTCTTTTCCATTTAAAGCTTATAATAAAGAGCTAATTAATCAATTGATTTTTGTCCCCATCAGATTTTCCTGAGTATAGCTTCTGCTACTGTGAGTTTTCTTTTATGGCCAGATCCAAAGTTTCCTTTTGTTTTATTTTTCCCCTGCTGTAGTCAAGTCCAATGTCTCAGGCTCAAATTCTGCACATCTAAATTTTGCCAGCAATATTCTGTTTGTTTGTTTGTTTGTGACAATGTCTTACTCTGTTACCCGGACTGAAGTATAGTGGCATGATCATGGCTCACTGCAGCTTTGACCTCCTGGGCTCAGGTGATCTTCCCACCCCAGCCTCCTGAGGAAGCTGGGACTACAGGCACGTGCCACCAAACCTAGATAATTCTTTGTATTTTTTGTATAGATGGGGTTTTGCCATGTTGCTGAAGCTGGTCTCAAACTCCTGGGCTCAAGTGTTTCACCCACCTCAGCCTCCCAAAGTGCTGGTATTACAGGTGTGAGCCACTGTGCCTAGCCAGCAATATTCTTTTTAATCAGTTTTCGATTGGTGAAAAAGTGACTATTTCTACCTATAATATTCATTATGGATTGGATAAAACATATTGTCTAATTATTTTGGTGTCATTATATTCAGAATTCCCAGTATAGTCATCCCTTCATACAGGAATGGAATAATAAAATTATACATTAAATAAGTGTTGTAAATACAGTAGATGTTTCTAAAGCTAATTTTTAAATGAAAGGACAATATATAAGTCTATAGCTAACTCCTCTGTCATGCACAATCTGAGTTAACAGAATAGATTAGGGGTTAGCAAGCTTTTTCTATAAAGGGCCATGTAATAAATATTTCAGGCTTTGCAGTTCATATGTTCTCTGTTGCAACAACTCAACTGTGCTGTTGTAGCACAAAAGCATCCTGGACTATTCATAAACTAATGAGCATGGCTGTGTTGCAATAAAACTTGTTTACACAAACAGATGGTGGTCCAGCCCAGATTTGGCCCATGGGCTGTAGTTTGCCAATCCTTGGAACAGATAAATGTTCATGCTATTATTTGTTTAGTAAGAGTATTCTTTAGTTGCCAGGTTGACCATGAACTACCATAAATAGAGAGCTCCTGGAATGTACATTGGAAAAGTTTTTCTTTTTGTCCAGTTTTTCAGGATCACAGCTGTTATACAAAGCTCTGTGTACCAACAATGCATATATCACCAGGCTCATATACAATTTTCTTAGAGGAGCTCAATACCCTGTGGACTTAAATTAAGAACCATAAAACTGCTTGAGAGTGGACAAAGAGAAGATAACCATTTTTCCTATCTTACTGAAAATAGAAGCAGAACAATCACTCGGACTCACATCATAGGACTAATTATGGATGGAGCATATTAGATGATAAAATAAAAACTAACAGGAAAGGAAAGCATGACACTAGCTTTGGTATTCAGTCATGGCTTAGAGTTACTAGCCTCATCTGGGTATAGCAGACAAGCTCTGGCCTTAGGAAAATATTATACTCTACACTTTGATGACTCCCCTAAAAACAAAACAACTAAAACAATTGTAAAAAGCAAAGCCTATTACAAAGAGGGAGCCAAAATTCAACATGAAATATACTGTGCTTAATAGAATTGAATTCTTGAATAATGTTCTTCTGGCCTCCAAGTGAGAATAAAGGTTGTGCTATTTAAGAATGTTTTTCAGCTGCACATAACTGCCTGTATTAGTCCATTTTCACACTGCTCTAAATAAATACCTGAGACTTGGTAATTTATAAGGGAAAGAGGTTTAATTGGCTCACAGTTCTGCATGGCTGGGGAGGCCTCAGGAAACTTACAATGATGGTGGAAGGGGAAGGAGGCACCATCTTTGTAAGGCTGGAGAAGAGAGAAAAGTGTGTGTGAAGGAGGAACTGTCAAGCACTTATAAAGCCATCAGATCTCATGCAAACTCACTCTCATGAGAATAGCATAGGGGAAATCGTCCCCATGATCCAGTCACCTCCCTCTCTTGACACATGGGGATTACAGGTGCCTCCCTTGACAGGTGGGGATTACAATTCGAGATGAAATTTGGGTGGGGACACAGAGCTAAACCGTATCATTCTCCACCGGCCCTTCCCAAATCTCATGCCTTTTCAGATTTCAAAACCAATCATGCCTTCCCAACAGTCCCCCAGAGGCTTAATTCATTCCAGCATTAACCCAAAAGTCCAAGTCCAAAGTCTCATCTGAGACAAGGCAAGACCCTTCTGCCTAGGAGCCTGTAAAATCAAAAGCAAGTTAGTTACTTCCAAGATACAGTGGGGGTACAGGCAGTTGGATAAATTGGCCAAAACAGAAGGGCTACAGGCCCCATGCAAGTCCAAAATTCAGTGGAGCAGTCATTCAATCTTAAAGCTCCAAAATGATTGCCTTTGACTCCATGTCTCACATCCAGGTCATGCTGATGCAAGCAGCAAGGTCCCATGGCCTTGGGCAGCTCCACCCCTGTGGTTTTGCAGGGCACAGCCCCCTTCCTGGCTGCTTTCACAGGCTGGCATTGAGTGTCTGTGGCTTTTCCAGGTGCATGGTGCAAGCCAGGTGGATCTACCATTCTGGGGTCTGGAGGATGGTGGCCGTCTTCTCACAGTTCCACTAGGCAGTGCCCCAATGGCAACTCTGTGTGAGGGCTGCAACCCCACATTTCCCTTCCACATTGCCCTAGCAGAAGTTCTTCATGGGATCTCCACCCCTGCAGTAGACTTCTGCCTGGACATCCAGGCATTTCCATACATACTCTGAAATCTAGGTTCCCAAACCTCAATTCTTGTCTCCTGTGCACCCACAGGCCCAACACCATGTGGAAGCTGCCAAGGCTTGGGGCTTGCACCCTCTGAAGCAATGGCCTGAGCTGTACCTTGGCCCCTTTTAGCCATGGCTTAAGCTGGAGGGGTTGGAACGTAGGACACCAAGTCCAGAGGCTGCACAGAGCAGGCGGGCCCTAGGCCTGCCCACAAAACCATTTTTCCCTGTTAGGCCTCCAGGCCTGTGATGGGAGGGACTGTGGTGAAGGTCTCTGACATGCCCTGGAGCCATTTTCCTCATTGTCTTGGTGATTAACATTTGGCTTCTCATTACTTATGCAAATTTGTGCAGCTGGCTTGAATTTCTCCCAAGAAAATGGTTCTTTTATTTTCTACCCCATCATCAGGATGCAAATATTCAAAACTTTTATGCTTTGCTTCCTTTTTAAACATAAGTTCCTATTTCAGATCATTTCTCTCAAGTTCAAAGTTCCCCAGATCCTAAAGGCAGGGGTAAAATGCTGCCAGTTTCTTTGCTAAAGCATAGCAAGAGTGACATTTGCTCCAGTTCCCAATAAGTTCCTTATTTCCATCTGAGACCACTTCAGACTGAACTTCATTGTCAACATCTCTATCAACATTTTGGTCAAAACCATTCAACAAGTCTCTAGGAAGTTCTAAACTTTCCCACATCTTCCTGTCTTCTGAGCCCTCCAAACTGTTCCAACCTCTGCCTGCTACCCAGTTCAAAAGTTACTTCCACATTTTTTGATATCTTTACAGCAGTGTCCCACTCTCTGCAGTACTAATTTACTTGCCTAAAAATGCTGCAAATAGTACTCACACAATAGTGCAGAGATAGGCAATCATTTGTACTAGTTTAAATAACTCTATATGCCAAGCAAAAACCCAGGTGTTTTCTATCATTCTTTGCTTGCTGGCTTTTGGTCCTTACACTTGTTGCCTCATGGTTGCAAAATGGCTGTTTTGTCTCCAGACATTACATCAACATTTGAAGGAGGAAGAAGGGTTAGTGTCTGAGCCACTGACTCTGCTGATAAAAGGACAGAGAAAGCTCTCCCAAAAGCCCTCAACAGATTTCTGTTTGTCTCATTGGTCAGAACTATCTTACTTGACCACTAATGGTTACAGAGGAGAGCAGTGATGCAGGATTTTTCTCGGTCCCTTTGCCAGTCAGGGACCTCTTGCTGGTGATGCTGGAGGCCTTGCTTGGGGCACACTACCTGTCCCTGGAGGTGCCTCACCCAATCGGCCCCCCTGGGCCAGGTCTGGCTTGTATACCAGTTCCTGAGTTCTTGTCCCACGCCCAGAATGAATGAGGCTGTGCTGAACTCTGAAGGGTGAGGGTGATGGAGAAGAATTTTTTTGACCAATGAAACAGCTTTCAGTGGGGAGGGGATGCAGGGGTGGTCTCCCTACCAGAAGGTGGGAAAGTCCCCCATGTGGCTGGGTCTGGGGCTTTTTATGGACTCAGAATGGGGAGTATGTGTTGATTGGTTTATGAGTATGCAAAAAAGGTTAAAGCAAAGACTCTACTCAAAGGTGGGCATGACAGTGTAGAAAATCAGTTAGGAAAGGACAGGTATATGTAAAATAGGTGAAGGGTGGGGATCAATCAGAGGAAAGCACACCAAACAGGAAGACAAGTTCTCAATCTGGTCCAAGGATTTAAGTTGTAGCTTGGCTTTCAGGCTTTAAACTGTCTTCAGCTTGGAGGCGGGATTTCACCGGGGACCCGCCCCATCTGCCTAGGCATTTGGCTGCCTCCTCCTGCCCTTAGTAGGAAAGTGAGTGTTTCATTTTCTCAATTTATCTGTGGATGTGGACAAAGGGGAAAGGGGTAGGGAATAGGGGGTTGTAGTCAGCCTCCAACAGATTATTACCACTGAAATTGTGCCCTAAAGGATTAAAGAAGTCAGTAACTAACAGAAATTCTTGAGTTTGCAAGGTAAGAAACAACTTGCTCAAATGCTGAAACTCCCTCTGCTTGTGAGATAAAACTAGCAGAAATCAGTTGGAACCACCATGGCCAACTGGAGTTTGCACACAGTGAGCTTGGTGAAGTCACGGCCCGAATTTCTACCACGTGTTTCATATTAACCCCTTGAAATTTTCTCATGGGACCCCTGAGGCAACATGAAGAGATAACTGTGCAAACCTGAGGATTTTCTAGGCCTCCCCTTTCCTTTCACTAATCACCTACAATCCCAATATCCACCCCCTAAACCTTTTCTAATAAAATTATGCCCTGCCTTAAAGCCATCTCAGGGAGACAGGTTTGAGCTTGACCCCTGTTGCAATAGAAAGCTTTTCTTTTGTCAAAAACCCAGAGTCATAGCACTGGCTTCTAGTGCATCAGGCAGCAATCACTTTTTGCTTGATAACACCATTTTTCATAAGTACCTGAAACTGGATTCACTAATTATGTCAGCTAATGTTGACATTGATAGAGGTAAACGACTCATTTCTTATTTATAAATCTGCAACTGTTGACAAGAAAAGCCATTGGCTTGGTTATAACTTTTGAAATGTGCTGCAATTAGCCAGGTGTGGTGGCTCATGCCTGTAATTCCGGCACTTTGGGAGGCCGAGGCAGGCGGATCACGAGGTCAGGAGATCGAGACCACCCTGGCTAACACGGTGAAACCCCGTCTCTACTAAAAATACAAAAAATTAGCTGGGCATGGTGGCGGGCACCTGTAGTCCCAGCTCCTAGGGAGGCTGAGACAGGAGAATGGCGTGAACCCAGGAGGCGGAGCTTGCAGTGAGCCGAGATCCCGCCACTGCACTCCAGCCTGGGCGACAGAGCGAGACTCCGTCTCAAAAAAAAAAAAAAAAAAACATAATGATAATAATAATAATAAAAAATAGAAAGAAATGTGCTGCAATCACAAAATTTCCCAGAACTTTATCTTATATGACCGTTTTCCTCCAGCTCATGGACAGCTATGTCTGAATCAACAGCAGTCCATAGGGCACTGCCCGAGGTATCAGGTGATGTCTAAAAGGATTCAATAGGAGGAGCAGGCATCTGGGAATATACCAAAGGAAATAAAGTCAACACCTAGTAACAATATCTGCACTCCCAAGTTCAATGCAGCATTATTCACAATAGCCAGGATATGGAAACGACTTCTGTCTGTCAACAGATGAATAGATAAAGATTTGGCATACTGTATACACACAATGGGATACTATTCAGCCTTCAAAAAAGCATAAAGGCCAGGCATGGTGGCTCATGTCTTAATCCCAGCACTCCGGGAGGCTGAGGTGGGCAGATCACTTGAGCTCAGGAGTTTGAGACCAGCCTGGGCACCATGGTGAAACCCTGTCTCTACAAAAAAGTACAAAAAAGTTGGCCAGGTGTCATGGCATGCATCTGTAGTCCCAACTACCAGGGAGGCAGAGGTGGGTGGATCACTTAAGCCAGGGAGGTCAAGACTGCAGTGAGCCATGATTGTGCCACTGCACTCCAGCCTGGGTGACAAAGTGAGACCCTGTCTCACAAAAAAAAAAAAAAAAAAAGCGGTGTGGAACTGTGCCGCTTGCTACAACATGGATGACTGGAAGACATTATGCTAAATGAAACAAGGCAGATACAGAAAGGAAAATACTGCATGACCTCATTTATATGTGGAATCTTTTTTTTTTTTAAAGTGAATATACAGAGATAGAGAATACAACAGTGGTTACCAGGAGTTGAGGAGGAGAGCAGGGAGGAGATGTAGGTCAAATGATACAAAGCAGCAGATATATACGATGAACAAGTCTAGAGATCCAGCGTACAACATGAGGACTATACTTAAAAATGTCACATTGCACTTGGGATTTTTGCTAAAAGAGTAGACTTTACGTGTCCTTGCCACCTAAATGAGTAACTGTGAGATGATGGATATGTTAATTTTCTTGACTACCATAATCATTTTACTATCTTCATATCAAAATATCATGCTGTACACCTTATATAAATACAATAAAAATTATTATTAAAAAAGAAAGAACAGGCTGAGAATGGTGGCTTATGCCTGTAATCCCAACACTTTGGGAAGTTGAGGTAGGAGGATCACTTGAGACCAGTAGTTCAAGATCAGCCTGGGCAACATAGCAAGACCCTATCTCTACAAAAAATAAAAATAAAAAAATTAGCCAGATATGGTAGCATGCACCTGTAGTCCTAGTTACTCTGGAGACTGAGGCAGGAGGATTCTTTGAGACATGATCATGCCACTGCACTCCAGTTTGGAGGACAGAGCAAGACCCCAACTCTAAAACAACACACAAAAATACAGCCATTTCTCCTGGGTGAAATGGGGGAGCTCAGACTATTTTGTTTTATTTGTCAGGAGTCTAAAGCCCATGTGAGCCAACTTAAGAAAATTCTGTTTGTATTTGAGTGTTCTTTATTGGAAAGAAATGGACTTTTCCCTAATGAGCCCATTTTACAAATCGAGAGCTCCAAATGCCCGGTTCCAGCCCCCATGATATAGATGGGCAGCAATGAGGACCAGAAATGCTGGGAAGTGTCCTTGTCATGCAAGGAAAACTTGGAACTTCAAGGATCCATCATGGGATGCAGGACAGTAGGCTCCACCCCTCTTCCTGCTTTCCAGTAAATGATGTTCAGGGCTCACATGCCTCTTCCAAGGCATGATGTGGGGTTGCAGTTCTGATCCCAGCAGAGAACAAGGCTCCTGTGAAACAATTAGTTTTGGCTCAGAGGCAAAAAATGGAAACCCCATTCCTGTATTTACCCTTCATTCTTTCCTTACCTCATACAGCTGGTTCCAGGTTTGATTGCATCATATACATAAATAAATAATCTGCTTTCCTGGTTTGGTTTAGTTTTGCTGGAGAGAGGAGTTTATGTGTTCATCCCATGACTAGCTGGGTGGTCAAGAGATTGGAAAGTAGGAGTTCTAGTTTAGACCAAGTCTCATCTCAGAAACCACAGAGTAGAACTGATCCCAAACGTCATCATCCCTGTAGGGAAAAGAAAGAGAGATCAGACTGTTACTGTGTCTATATAGAAAGGGAAGACATAAGAGACTCCATTTTGAAAAAGAGCTATACTTTAAACAATTGCTTTGCTGAGATGTTGTTAATTTGTAGCTTTGCCCCAGCCACTTTGACCCAACCTGGAGCTCACAAAAACATGTGTTGTATAAAATCAAGGTTTAAGGGATCTAGGGCTGTGTCAAAGTGGCTGGGGCAAAGCTACAAATTAACAACATCTCAGCAAAGCAATTGTTTAAAGTACAGCTCTTTTTCAAAATGGAGTCTCTTATGTCTTCCCTTTCTATATAGACACAGTAACAGTCTGATCTCTCTTTTTTTTCCCTACATATCCCAATAGCACCTGCCTGACTAATACATCATGCTCTGCTGACTCCATATGTGGCTGGTTTCCTGGATCCGATTCTGACTGATGGTATCTGTTCTCACGCTGCTAATAAAGACATACCAGAGACTGGGTAATTTATAAAGAAAAAGAGGTTTAATGGACTTATGTGTTCCACGTGGCTGGGGAGGCCTCACAATCATGGTGGAAGGTGAAGGAGGAGCAAAAGCACATCTTACATGGTGGCTGGCAAAAGAGAGAAAGCATGTTCAGGGGAACTCCCCTTTATAAAACCATCAGATCTCATGAGACTTATGCACTATCACAAGAACAGCATCAGAAAGATCCACCCTCATGATTCAATTACCTCCCACTGGGTCCCTCCCATGACACATGGGAATTATGGGAGCTACAATTGGAGATTTGGGTGGGGACACAGCCAAACCATATCAGATGGCTTATTTGGTTTCTATGTAGAACCTCTGCTTTTCATTCAACAGTCTTCATTTAGCCACAGATAAGCTCTGTCCCTAACTTCCACTGATGGAATGTACACATAAGAAACTTCCACTGATGGAATGAACACAGAAGGTGCCTACTGGGAAGAAAACTGGCCTGAATCTGAGCTGGGTCAAATGTCTGCAGTCAGTTTGAATGGCTGCTCCTTATGGGAATAATTTACATTCTCAATAAAATTCTCTAGCAATTTTCTGATTGATTTTAATGAGCTTTAAAGCCTTACGTAGAAGATCCCCCAGCTGATAGTCAGCCTTGGGCATGGATTAAGGGCTTTTAACCAATCTTGCAACAAGTTTAAGCAGATATTCTTTATTGGGTCCAATCTAACCAAAATTATTTTCTTATGTTCTCCCCAGTAACGTGTCATTATTAAGAGAAGTTTGGCTTGCTTAGAGGCCAAATTTAGAGGGTCCTGAAATTTTATTTTCTTTTACACCACTTTCCAGCATGTTACCTGATCAGTTGTTTATTATCTTTGCTGTTGAATGGAGTGATCATTCCAAGGGCCCGAGGCAGGAGGCCCAGGCACAGTGGAAACTCTCCCAAAGACCAGGATCTTTGTTTTGTTCCCTGACATATGCTGAGCACCAGGAATAGTGAGTGAATGAAACAAATTGTGAGGCTTTAAAGAGCCGAAATATTTAAACACTGGGCACAAGGTTGTTGCTTAATCAGTGCTAGATCCTTACCTCCCCCTTGTGTCCAGGTGGACTTGTTACTGCAGTTAAACCACTTGCTGATCCTCAAACAACTAGTTAGTGGCACAGCCAGGCCTAGGACCCCAGTCTCTACTGTTCCAACTAACCCATTCGCAGGCAGGAGCACTTTGAATGGTCTCTTATTTTAAAAAAATTAAATTAAAATTGTCTATTTATTTAGAGACAGAGTCTTACTCTGTAGCCCAGGCTCGAGTGCAGTGGTGCAATCATAGCTCACTGTAACCTCCATCTCCTGGCCTCAAAAAGTGTTTGAATTACAGATGCGAGGCACTGTACCTGGCCCGAATGTTCTGTTCAGACAAAGCCACCTCTAAGTCGCTGTGGGGCCCCAGACAAGTGATTTTTGAGGAGTCCCTATCTATAGGAACAAAGTAATTAAAAAAATGTATTTCAGAATTTACAGGCCCATGTGAGATATGATTTTTTTAAATGAAGATTTAGAGTAATGGGTAAAAAAGAGGTATTTGTGTGTTTGTTGATTGTTCAGTCAGTGAATGTACAGCTTCTGCCTCATATCCAGGCACCATCTCTTCCTGCTCTTTGTTGTTAAATGTTCCATTCCTGGGTAATTTCATGTCTGCCATCGTGGATATGCCGTGGCTCCTTGAACCTGCTTGTGTTGAAGCAGGATCTTCCTTCCTGTCCCTTCAGTGCCCTAATACCATGTATTTAAGGCTGGACACATCACCACTCCCAACCTGCCTCACCCACTGCGTCACTTGTGATCACTGGCTTCTGGCGACTCTCACCAAGGTCTCTGTCATGCCCTGTTATAATGACTACAAAAGCAAGTCTTACCTATAGGAAAATAAGAATTATAACCCTTTTACTGGTCATGTGAAACTTACCATTTGCAATTTGTACAGCATAAACACAGAACAGCACATCTTTCAATGCCTGCATCCTGAAGGCATTTTGTTTGTGTCTTTCAATCTGGCTGTGCTATTGTTGGTGTTTAACAGTCTCCCCAGCTACACTGGAAACTTCCAGAAGGCACTTTTCACTTGCTTGTGTGTTTTCCCCAGTGTCTATTAGAGGCCTTTGCACAGGGTAGGCTCTTTGGAGCAGCTGAAGGTCACACATCCCATGAGCGGGCAGCAGGGTCAGAAGTGGCCCCCGTGTTGCCTAAGCAAGACTCTCCCCTGCCCTCTGCCCTCTGCACCTCCGGCCTGCATGTCCCTGTGGCCTCTTGGGGGTACATCTCCCGGGGCTGGGTCAGAAGGCCTGGGTGGTTGGCCTCAGGCTGTCACACACCTAGGGAGATGCTCCCGTTTCTGGGAACCTTGGCCCCGACTCCTGCAAACTTCGGTAAATGTGTAACTCGACCCTGCACCGGCTCACTCTGTTCAGCAGTGAAACTCTGCATCGATCACTAAGACTTCCTGGAAGAGGTCCCAGCGTGAGTGTCGCTTCTGGCATCTGTCCTTCTGGCCAGCCTGTGGTCTGGCCAAGTGATGTAACCCTCCTCTCCAGCCTGTGCACAGGCAGCCTGGGAACAGCTCCATCCCCACCCCTCAGCTATAAATAGGGCATCGTGACCCGGCCGGGGGAAGAAGCTGCCGTTGTTCTGGGTACTACAGCAGAAGGTAAGCCGGGGGCCCCCTCAGCTCCTTCTCGGTCTTGTCTCTCTCAGATGTAACTGAGCTGTGGGCTAGGAGGAAAAGGCCGGGAGGAGGCACGGTGATGACTGAAAAACCTCTCCCCTCTCATAAGACCAGTCATCCGGACGCGGGCTTTCCCCCACTCGGTGCCCACCTGGGGTCTTACAGGAGGAGCTGCTCCTCCTCAGCAATAGGACAAGATGGTCAGGTCTTCCTGCTTCCGCTGAGAAAAGTTAGGGTCCTCAGGAACGGAGCAGACTGGTACAGGAACAGAGTCATCATGGCCAAGAGTCCACCGGGTCCTCTTGCCATCAGGAGGAATAGCAGGGCTTGTGCAGGAATTGGGGCTGGAGGGAAGGGCCGGGCTCGGTCAGTCTCCAGCTGGGATCCCCAGAGTGGTCACCCTACCCCTCCCTCGAGACAGACTGCCTGACTGTGTGTCATCAGGCTGGTCACCATCTCCCTGAACCTCGATTTGCTCACCTATAAAATGGAACTAATAACGATGCCTGGGCTCCCTGTCTCAGGGGCTCTGGTATAGCTGAAGAGAACTAATATAACATGAAAGTGCTTTCTAAGCTTTGGGATAAGCTAAAAGGCAGATTCCAATTTTATTCGAGGGCAGCGTAGATTGGTGCTTCAGCTCGTGGATGACAGAGTCAGGGGGCCTGGTTCTGAGTCCTAGTTCTGTCTCTTCCCAGCTGTGTGACGTTGAACAAGTCACTGGACCTCTCTGTTCCTCTGCAAAACAGCATGAACCAATTCATTAACTACTTCTCCAGGATGCAGTAGGTCCCAGGGACTATCCTAGGAATGTGGGCTGTATTAGTAAACACAACAGCGGGAACCCTGTTCCGGGGCTCACATTCACATCAGAGCAAACAGACAAAGACGCTGGACAGAATAAGTGCATAACTACATGGTACAGAGGGTTATAAGGAGGGAAAAGGGGAGCTGG
Organism: Homo sapiens; assembly: GCF_000001405.40. Taxonomy (NCBI): domain Eukaryota; kingdom Metazoa; phylum Chordata; class Mammalia; order Primates; family Hominidae; genus Homo; species Homo sapiens. Next base: position 230,713,112 of record NC_000001.11, on the reverse strand, counting down.
ATGAGAGAGTTGAGAGTGCCCGGTGTGGTGGGGAAAGCTGCAGGGTGAAATACTGCATCAGGGAAACCTCAGGGAAGGTGAGGACTATGGTGAGGTCAGAGGGGTTGATATGAGAACAGTGCCCTGCAAATGGCAGGCACCACAGGAGCATGAGCCGTCATCTTCACCTTTAGCATTCAGCCCGGGAGAAGTAGGGAGACATAGAAGGGGCAGGTGCTGGCCAAGAGGCAGGGGCAGGAGAGGAGAAGGCGGAGGGGCACTCAGGGCGAGGGTGTCAGGCCCGCCACCCCAGAGCACCATTACTCCCAGGACGCGGCTGCGTGCAGACCTGGAACCAGCCTAGGGAGCAGCCGCAGATCACAACTGAGAACAAACGACAGTCTCTGCCTCAAAAATGGCCCATGGAATTGCGTCTCTGGAGACGCTGCCTGAGCAGGAGCAGCACAGTGAGCGGGCTGCATCGACCAGCGCCATCCAAACCCCGAACAGTTGGCGCTTGTCAGGCAGGACTTCCCAGCAGTCGGTTCCCACAGGTTTCCCCTGTTGACCTGATTTGATGTGACTGTCTAGATTAGGTGTGAACTGGTGGCTTAGGCTTCTCTGCACAGAAAGGCCTGCAAGCAGCAGAGAGAGTTTTCTGTTCCATTTTTCCATGTCATGTGGCTCTTCCTGAGAACAGCGGATGGAGTCAAATGCATGGGGAGTGGGGTGAGATGGTAGCTGAGGTCAGAATTTGGCATTTGAATGACTGAAGCAGAACAAAACACACCAGGTACTTCAGCAGCTGCACCGTGTTGAGGGCAGGTGCTGGTTACGGGTCTGGGTGAGGGAAGCCAGCTGCCAATGTAAGAAGAATGACTGGGTATGCTTAGATGAAGCAGAAAAATCTAGGCATCAAGGTGGCCTTGAGTCAGTGATGACACGCTACAGCTCCAAGGAAGCCTGGCCTAGCCCTGGGGGGACAGAAAAGGCCAAGAAGTGACGATATTGCAGTACACCCCCCTCCACAAGAAATGAGTGAGATGTGGTACAAAATGTTAGAATTGAATGAATCAATAGAATAAACGTTCATCCCTTCAATCAAGAAGAGTCAGATGAAATGAATTAGCAGGGCCAGCCCAAGAACCTCTTCTGGGGGTCTCAGGGTAGCTTTCATTTGTAGCAGCTGAGGCTGAAGCCCAGCTGCAAGGCCTTTGAGAGAACGTGGTGCTGGACCCGTGTCTAGGGCAGGGGTTCTAAACCCTGCTTACATATCAGAGTCACCTGAGAATTTTCTATTTTTTTTTTTTTTTTTTTATACGTGGTCCCAGCACAGACTAAGGAATCCAACTATCATTGGGCAAGCCATGCTAGGTATGCATGCCTTTGGGGCTCTGCAGGGGATAGCGCTATGCAGGGATGGTTGAGAGCTGGTTTTGGGGTTGAGACACGTGGGAAATACTTGGACTTTGGGCTGAGCCTGTGGTGCTCAATCCCGGCTGCATGTTGGGACCACAGGGAGATGACAAAACCATCCCCAGCCCTCACCCTAGGGCCCTCGAATGAGCATCTCAGGGGTCTAGGAGGCCTCCACAAAGACCTACTGATTGGCACACACTTGTTTCTCTAGGAAGAGAACTTACAGCTGCAGGCAGGAGCATGTCTTAATCTGCTTGGGCTGCCATAAGTACCACAGACTGGGAGGGTTTAACAACAGAAATGTGTTATCTCACAGTTCTGGAAGCTAGAAGCCTGGGAGCCAGCCATCAGCAGAGTTGGTTTCCTCTGGGTCCTCTATCCTTGGCTTGTAGATGGCCGTCTTCTCTCTGTGTCCCCACATGGTCTTCCCTCTGTGTCCCCACATGGTCTTCCCTCTGTGTGTGTCCATGTCCTCATCTCCTCTTCTCATAAGGACACAGGTCATATTAGATCAGGGCTCACCCTCATGGCCTCATTTTAACTTAATCATCTCTTTAAAGATCCTGTCTCCAAATAATGGTCACATTCTGAGGTCCTGGGGTTGAGGACTTCAACACGGGCATTATGGCCGTTGGGGGAGGTAGGACATAATTCAGCTGATATTGGTGCATTTTGCACTTGGATCATGTAGATATTTTCCATGGAGCTTTGAATCCATTTCTTCTTTTTTTTGTAGACATGAATGGATTTATTCTGGGCTAAATGGTGACAGGGAATATTGAGACAATGAAAGATCTGGTTAGATGGCACTTAAAGGTCAGTTAATAACCACCTTTCACCCTTTGCAAAATGATATTTCAGGGTATGCGGAAGCGAGCACCCCAGTCTGAGATGGCTCCTGCCGGTGTGAGCCTGAGGGCCACCATCCTCTGCCTCCTGGCCTGGGCTGGCCTGGCTGCAGGTGACCGGGTGTACATACACCCCTTCCACCTCGTCATCCACAATGAGAGTACCTGTGAGCAGCTGGCAAAGGCCAATGCCGGGAAGCCCAAAGACCCCACCTTCATACCTGCTCCAATTCAGGCCAAGACATCCCCTGTGGATGAAAAGGCCCTACAGGACCAGCTGGTGCTAGTCGCTGCAAAACTTGACACCGAAGACAAGTTGAGGGCCGCAATGGTCGGGATGCTGGCCAACTTCTTGGGCTTCCGTATATATGGCATGCACAGTGAGCTATGGGGCGTGGTCCATGGGGCCACCGTCCTCTCCCCAACGGCTGTCTTTGGCACCCTGGCCTCTCTCTATCTGGGAGCCTTGGACCACACAGCTGACAGGCTACAGGCAATCCTGGGTGTTCCTTGGAAGGACAAGAACTGCACCTCCCGGCTGGATGCGCACAAGGTCCTGTCTGCCCTGCAGGCTGTACAGGGCCTGCTAGTGGCCCAGGGCAGGGCTGATAGCCAGGCCCAGCTGCTGCTGTCCACGGTGGTGGGCGTGTTCACAGCCCCAGGCCTGCACCTGAAGCAGCCGTTTGTGCAGGGCCTGGCTCTCTATACCCCTGTGGTCCTCCCACGCTCTCTGGACTTCACAGAACTGGATGTTGCTGCTGAGAAGATTGACAGGTTCATGCAGGCTGTGACAGGATGGAAGACTGGCTGCTCCCTGATGGGAGCCAGTGTGGACAGCACCCTGGCTTTCAACACCTACGTCCACTTCCAAGGTAAGGCAAACCTCTCTGCTGGCTCTGGCCCTAGGACTTAGTATCCAATGTGTAGCTGAGATCAGCCAGTCAGGCCTTGGAGATGGGCAGGGGGCAGCCCTGCGGACATACCTGGTGACCACCCTTGAGAAGTGGGGAAGTGGCTGCTCCGCTGGGTCCCTGGATGGGCCGTCCACCTCCTGGACCTGCTGCCCTACTATGTGCACGACTATACAACATCCTTTTTCTTACATCATTTAATCCCCTTATGATGTGGTGAAGAGGTATTTGTGCCTTTGTTTACCAGTGAAGAAATAGAGACTCGGAGAAACAAAGTGCCTTGCTCAAGATGGCACAGCCACCAGTGGGGGTCCTGGGATTGAAACCCACATCTCCTGGCCCCACAGCCCAGTTCTACACTCAGAAGGGTCAGGTTCATATCTCTTGAGAAGGTCAGGAACTGGGGTCCCTGGCCCATGCAGAAATAAGCAATTGGCTTGCTTAAATCCCTTTCATGTTAGGAGGGGCATTACTGAAAACCCTCTACTACAAAGATTGTTGATTTTTTTTTTTTTTTTTATTGAGACAGGGTCTTGTTCTGTCACCCAGGCTGCAGTGTAGTGGTGCCATCATTGCTCACTGTAGCCTTGAACTCCTGGCCTCAAGCGATCCTCCCACCTCTGCCTTCCAAAGTGTTGGGATTAAAGGTGTGAGCCACTGCACCCAGCCACAGATTGCTTAAAGCATTCATTTAACAAATACTTGTTGAGGATTTGCTACTTGTAAGACTTTAAGCCTGGCATCTCAGAGGAGGCCAGAGGAGGGCTGTATAGGCCCTGCCTCCAGGCTTTTAAAGGTCAATGGGCAAATGCCTAGGATTTGGAGCTGCAGGGAAACGTGCTCCACAAGGTAACTCAGGGAAGCCTCGGGGCTCTCAGAGGACAGAGGTCACTGGGGAGCGGAGAGCAGGCCTTGCCTGGCAGTGAGGGCAACAGGGCTGGTGAAGCTAGGAGCAAGCATGATGAGCCCAGCCTGCAGAGTTTGGGGCAAGGAACGAGGATGGGGCGGTTGGCTTGGCATGAGTGTTGAACCAGAAAATGGGCCTGGGGAGGGCAGAGCTGGAGACACTTTGAACGCCATGCTTGGTAGGTGTGGGAATGGGGACGCGTTCTGTTCAGAGGTCATCCCGGAAGCCTGCCGTGTGCAGACTGGAGGCAGGGAGGATTGTTTGAAGGTTACGCAAGAGTCCAGGCACACAGTCACGGGAACACGTGCTCAGGGAGCAGCTCGGCAAATCCATGGGTGGGGTGGGGCTGAGGGGTGTGTCTAAGAGACACTGAGGAGGCTCTGTCAAGATGTTAACCTCGTGAGGGACAGAGAGCCAGGCGGGAGGTGAAAGACAAGACTGTGGAGAAAGAGGTTCAGTGGCGCATAGTGATTTTTCTTACCACAACAACCTCCTTGAGGTCTTTCCCTTCGGGTTCAGGGAGAGGTGATAGATGGGGGGATTGCTCAGCCCTGGCACTGACTGGTCACAGGGGCAGAGGCCAGCCCGAGGGTTGCCCGGTTGAGGGTGGCAGCACACTGTGCAGGGCAGAGCAGGGACACATGGACTTAGCCTGCTGTCCCTAGGAGAAGTGCTGGGAGGAGCGCTCACTGAGAAGGAGGGTCCTGCAGAAGGCAAAGGCAAGAAAGCCAGTGGCATCTGAAATGGGTCTCCCTTCGAAAGAGAGCACATCCACCTGACCCAGACCGCAGAGCCAGGCCAGGAGGAAGAGGAGGAAGAATAAAAAAGCCAACCACATCGGGACTCAAAGGAAGCCCAGGATCCTCGCCGGCCTCCACCGCATGCTGCCCTGACCCTGCCCCACTTCCTAACTTTGCTGGCCTCAGTTTCCGTCAAAGGAGGCAGCCACTTCCTGCCCACATGGTCTGTCCAGTGAGGAGATCGGGGGCTGTCTCGGGACCTCTAGGTTTCCCTTTAGCAATGATGTTCTATTTACATGACCTCAGCAGGCAGCTAGATGTGTCCCACTAGAGAGGACCTGAGGATCTGGGGCCTGATGGGCTCCAGGGTACCGTCTGCCCAGTGCTTGCTGTGCTCCTGAGCATGGGGCGCTGGCCCTGGTGGTTTCCATGACACCAGGTCCTGACTTGACCTCGACAGATTTACCTAGCCTCCGGATGAGAATGGTGAGCTGTGCATGTCAGACGAGCAGAGGGAAGACGGCAGCCACTCTCATGTCAAATCCCAGCGTCTTTTGGGAGGCAGCTTCCCTTTTTTAGTTTAGTTTGTTGGAAGAAAAGAATTGTCCCTTTCCCCCCTCTAAACTAAAAGCCTTGCCAGCCCAGGTGGGCAGCACCGAGGTCCCTGCAGGGAACGTGCAAGGGGAACCCTGCAGTTTCCCGCTCACATGCCCTTCCGAGACTGAGTGCTCCGAGGACTGAGGACGAGAAATATGCCAGGTCTGCCACTGCCTTCTTACGAGACCCGGACCCAGGGGAGGCACAGCCATGCCCAGCTCCTGCCTGCCAGTTCTGTCCTCCCAGCTGCCCTACTTTCATGCTGGGACCTCCAATTCAGTACAAAGGGAGACCTCACTGTTTCTGAACCATCTCTACTCAGACTCCCAAGTGCCACGTGCCCAGGGGACTGTTCTGTGACAAACTTATACACAACTTCACCCTATTCTCCTAAGAACAACCGCAGAATAGGCCTTTCAGGATGAGTGGGAGGACAGCCGAGGGCAGGGATGTGCTAGTGTAAGGTCGAGGCAGAGGGTGGGCTGCTGTCATGGAAAGACCCCAGGTAACTGCGTCACACACAAATTTGTGTCCTTCTCCCACAACGGGCTCTCCCGAGTTCTCTGTCATCTGCACGGCCCTGTGAGCAGGAGGGGAAACAGAGGGCTCACCCCTGCCCCCAAGGCCCAGTGTGCAAATCCATTCATCACAACGAGGTTGTGTGAGTCTCCCCAGTAGCAAGGGCTGCTGAGGAATGGAGCCCTCGTTTCCGGGGCCTGCGTGGCCCACTCTGTATTCTATGACTGTGATGGGGGAGGGTGGGGGCCACAGGACAGCTGGTGGGCTCTGCCATGGCTGGGGCTAGACATGGATTAAAAAGTGAGTATGAGCAGGGGCCTCTAGGAGTGGTGGGATAGTGCGGTGGTGGCCACATGTCATTCTACGTGCGTCCAAACCTACAGAATGTAAAACACCAGGAGGGAGACTCAAAGAAAACTATCAACTTTGAGTGCTGAGGACGTGTCAGTGTAGGTTCGTCAGTTGCAACAAATGGGCCACGCTGGTGTGAGATGTTGATCACGGGGGAGGCTGTGTAGTGGGGGACAAGAGTTATATGGGAACTTTCTGTACTTTCTGCTCGATTTTGCTGTGAACCTAAAGTCACTCTAAAAAATAACATCTCTTAAATTTTTTAAAAAGTGAGTGTGTCAAACCACAGCCTTTGGGTCAGGACAGTTCTAGGTTTGAGTTGACCTGGCAGGTACCAGTGGCTTATGTCCCTTAAGGTGACAGATGCAAAACCCCCGGTTTGGTGCCTGGCATGTTGTGTGTCTTGCAGGTGGCGGTTAGGGCTGCCTCAGTGAACTCAAATGGCTGCATTTTACAGGAGAAATATTTGAGCCACACTTGCGGTCCTGTGGCCAGGAGAATGCAGAGTGGCCTGGGGGGGGCCAAGGAAGGAGGCTGAGGCAGGGCGAGGGGCAGGATCTGGGCCTTTGGTGTCTGCCAGCCCTCATTCCTGCCCCTGTCTTGGGTGACTCTTCCCTCCCTGTCTCCTGTCTGGATTTCAGGGAAGATGAAGGGCTTCTCCCTGCTGGCCGAGCCCCAGGAGTTCTGGGTGGACAACAGCACCTCAGTGTCTGTTCCCATGCTCTCTGGCATGGGCACCTTCCAGCACTGGAGTGACATCCAGGACAACTTCTCGGTGACTCAAGTGCCCTTCACTGAGAGCGCCTGCCTGCTGCTGATCCAGCCTCACTATGCCTCTGACCTGGACAAGGTGGAGGGTCTCACTTTCCAGCAAAACTCCCTCAACTGGATGAAGAAACTATCTCCCCGGTAGGAGCCTCCCGGTCTCCCCTGGAATGTGGGAGCCACACTGTCCTGCCCAGGCTGGGGGCGGGGTGGGGAGTAGACACACCTGAGCTGAGCCTTGGGTGCAGAGCAGGGCAGGGCCGCGGTGGCACGGGGCTGGGCAGGCGGCCTGTGTGTCTGTCTACCAGTCCTCTATCCAGCCAGCACCCAGCTCTCCAGTTAGTGTCTGTCTTTCAAGTGCAGGCAAGGTAAAGGAGGAGAGGAAGAATGCTTTTTCTACACTTACACTTGCCTGGTAGTTTTGGAGGGGGAGAAAACATTGCAATCCGCCCTCTGAGAGAGGACCATTTTGGTCCCACACCTGACACACAGCACACCTGTGACATCCAAGAGCTTCTTGGAACTGACTTGCCAGGAGGGTTCGGACTTCGCGTGAGCGGGGGTGGGGCCTTCTCAGGGAGCGTCCCTTGACTCCAGAACGCCCTTGCTGGCGGCTGGCGGCTGGGTGGGGATAGGTGTTGTTAGCTCCTCTTTCCTGCTGCAATTCCTTTCCACAGAGCCCTGGACTCAAACTACACATCACCCCAGATCATCGAGGCCTGGAAATCTGCTCCCAGAGGCAGGCATTGAGTGACACGATGGCTTGACATCAACTCTGGGTGTTTTTTATGTTTTAAAAATTGTGATGGTAAAATATACGTAACAAAATTTGCCATCGTAACCATTTTCGAGTGCACAGTTCAGTGGTACTAGGCCCATTCACACTGTTGTGCAGCCATCACCCCCGTCCATCTCCATTTATCTTCTCAACTTCCCAAACTGAAGCTCTGTCCTGCTGAAACACTAACTCTCCATTTCCCCTTCCCCTTGGCCCCGGCAACCACCACGATGTCCTCGAGGTTCACCCATGTTGTAGCACATGTCAGAATGTCCTTCCTTTTGAAGGCTGAATAATATTCCATTGCATGTGGTTACCACCTTTTGTGTATCCACTCATCCATCGATGGACACGTGGGTTGCTTCCACCTTTGAGCTGCTGTGAATAGTGCAGTGTACCCTGTAAACATGGGTGTACTGTCAGCTCTTATAAGTGCTTGATACATCACTGGAAATGTCCATGGGCTCTGAAGGATGCCAAAAGATGGAAGAGGCTCTATACGAAGATCAATCGAGTTGACATAGCAACGTGTCCAGCACGAGGTTGACACTGTACCCTCCTGCCTCTCTCCTTTTCATGGGTGTCATGTCATCAAGAACACTGCTGTGGCAGTAGTAAGACACAGTGCATTATTTCAGAGAATAGCATTTAAAAATTACCCAAGTAACACACCTTCAATGCAGCCAACCTAAAAACAGAATGCACCAAAGGACAACCATTCCTAGGTCCTCATCGGTAAATCTTCTATGTCCCTCACATAGTATTGCAAATGACATGAAGGATTTTTATTGTAGGTTTTGCTGAAATTTTCCCCAAGGGGGAGGATGACTTAGTTGGGTGATGGGGGGAGCAAACATCCCTGTCGTCAGGGTTGGGTGCAAGGAGCATAAGCCTGCCTGGCCTCTGGGAGAGCCCTCACTGTGTGGCCTGGAGCCTTCCTAACTGTGCATCATCTCCCCAGGACCATCCACCTGACCATGCCCCAACTGGTGCTGCAAGGATCTTATGACCTGCAGGACCTGCTCGCCCAGGCTGAGCTGCCCGCCATTCTGCACACCGAGCTGAACCTGCAAAAATTGAGCAATGACCGCATCAGGGTGGGGGAGGTATGTGTGAGCCTGTGTCTGTGCCTGACCTGGGTTCCAAGTGTGCACAGGGTGGGAGGCATGGATGTAAGGGACACAGAGGAGGCTATGGGTGGGGCCAGCAGGGCAAGAGGGAGCGGAGAGTAGGGCCAAAGGTGGGAGAGAAGTAGCCAGAGCATTCTGGGGCCTTCCAGGTGCAGAGCAGCAAATCCCTCCCCATCCCTGCTGTGCCTCCTCCTGCTAGGTGTGTGTTCCATGGTCCTGCTTGGCCTTGCCTTGCCTCAGGGTCCTCCAGGGTTCCTATAGTGGAGTTGAAACCGGGATGAAGACAGCAAGCACCCCTGGACCTGGTGCCCTGGGCCCAGCCCCTTCTTCAGGGAAATGCTGAGCAGCAGACAGAATGTCCCCCTGCCATGTGGCACCATGCACATCTGCAGCTACCAAGGATGTGCCTTGATGTTCTGGGCCCTGTGCTCAGTGCTGGGGAGAAAGTGGGAGTTCTTACGGGGGCCAGCGGGAAGAGCCCTCTGTGCTAAGTTAGCTAAGCCCTGGCACTGGTGGGCCATGGCCAAGGGAGCCAGGAATTCTGCCTGGGACATCAGGGCAGAATGTGAAGATGGGAGGATGTAAGGGGTGTGTTAGGGAGGAGCCGGCATGTGAGTTTGGCCATTGTGGCCAATTAACGGTCATCTACACACAGACACACCCTTGCCTACACTGAGGGGCAGGCATACACTGTGCATCCTCCTGGCAGGCTGGAAAATGTCCCCCTCCAGGACAGTGCACAGCACAGAGGTCCTGAGCCCACCCCGGCCCTCTAGCCCTCAGCACCCTGGGTCACCCAGTGCGCCCTCAGAATGATCCTGATGTCTGCTGCTTTGCAGGTGCTGAACAGCATTTTTTTTGAGCTTGAAGCGGATGAGAGAGAGCCCACAGAGTCTACCCAACAGCTTAACAAGCCTGAGGTCTTGGAGGTGACCCTGAACCGCCCATTCCTGTTTGCTGTGTATGATCAAAGCGCCACTGCCCTGCACTTCCTGGGCCGCGTGGCCAACCCGCTGAGCACAGCATGAGGCCAGGGCCCCAGAACACAGTGCCTGGCAAGGCCTCTGCCCCTGGCCTTTGAGGCAAAGGCCAGCAGCAGATAACAACCCCGGACAAATCAGCGATGTGTCACCCCCAGTCTCCCACCTTTTCTTCTAATGAGTCGACTTTGAGCTGGAAAGCAGCCGTTTCTCCTTGGTCTAAGTGTGCTGCATGGAGTGAGCAGTAGAAGCCTGCAGCGGCACAAATGCACCTCCCAGTTTGCTGGGTTTATTTTAGAGAATGGGGGTGGGGAGGCAAGAACCAGTGTTTAGCGCGGGACTACTGTTCCAAAAAGAATTCCAACCGACCAGCTTGTTTGTGAAACAAAAAAGTGTTCCCTTTTCAAGTTGAGAACAAAAATTGGGTTTTAAAATTAAAGTATACATTTTTGCATTGCCTTCGGTTTGTATTTAGTGTCTTGAATGTAAGAACATGACCTCCGTGTAGTGTCTGTAATACCTTAGTTTTTTCCACAGATGCTTGTGATTTTTGAACAATACGTGAAAGATGCAAGCACCTGAATTTCTGTTTGAATGCGGAACCATAGCTGGTTATTTCTCCCTTGTGTTAGTAATAAACGTCTTGCCACAATAAGCCTCCAAAAATTTTATCTTTCATTTAGCAGCCAAACAGATGTATACAATTCAGCAGATAGACTGTGCAAACGAAAGTGCTTTCCTGGACTTTGGATGGAATTTCCATGGGAGGTCTGAGCCAGTACTTAGCAGTCCTTTGAAGTTTTAGGTGATGCTTTTCTCTGGACACTTCCATTGGTAAGCAGTGGTGGCCATCTGTGTGATGGACAGGGGGCGGGAAGAGGGTGACAGGGAAGGCCCCATACCCCATGTGGCACCTGGGAAAGGAACCAGGCAGATGGGACTTCTTCCGTCCTGGTGACACAGGGCCAGACTGCTGCTGGTATTGTGCCCCGGGAGTGGAAGGTAGAGAAATAAATCTTCACAAATAAATATTTGCAATTTTCCCCCATCTGTTGAGTGCCTCTGCCTGCTCCTCCTCGATGGGATTAGGCCCACAGTTCGGAATCTTGGGGAGAGCCAAGGAAGCGGTAGGCACCCAGTAGGCCCACGGCCGTCGGCTGATAGCAATGGTGATGCTGTCCTACCTACTTGTGTAAGGCATTCGATCTTCCTCCCTTCCATACATATTGAAATAAATAAGCCGCGCAATGTGTTAGCTATTGATCAGAACTAAAGTGAAGTCAGCCACGGGGATTACAAATCTCGGCTTCTCCCCTCATGTTCCTGAGAGTCTTCCCCTGGTTTTGAACACATCTCCCTAGCTCGATGTCAAGGTGAGGGATTCTGTCGGCAACAGCAGTGCCCTTAGTTGCTTCGTCGTAACTCCCCGTCACCGGTTTTATTCAGTTACCTTCCAGTCCCACTCTCAGAGCTTCCTGGCTTGTTCTGCTCTCAAAGCGGGTAGAGCTGGCACACATGGACTCTCCGAAACGGCTGCAAGATGCCAAGTTTCTCGGAAGAACTGGAAGCACAGAGACCAGAAGTGCCTTAAGGTCTCGCTATTCAGTGTGGCGCTTAGACCGGCAGTGGCGGCAGCTGCCCTGGGAGCTTGTTAGAATGTGGCTTCTCACGCCCCTCCTGGACCTACAGAGTCAGAATCTGCAGTTTTACAGGAGGTCCAGGCTTGGAAGTTGCTCGTAGAGACCTGAGACAGCGCAGCCACGTGCTGGAAACAAAGCATTTAAGTTTGTGACTTTATTTTAAAAGGCAGCAGGCAGTCGACAAACCAATTTCTTCTACTTAGAGGCGGCTTCGGCTTCTGGAAGTCGCTAGGAGTATAAAGTTGCCAACCAGCGCTGTTCTCCCGCTGTTTTCTGTGCACTTATAAATGGGAAGTTAGGTCAGGATAGATCTCTCAGCTATTACAAGGATACAAAATACGAACATTCTACAAGTTACTTAACACACACACACACACACACACACACACACACACACACAAAATTAATTCCACAGGTCAGTTTCTCTGAAACATTTTTTCACTAAATTCTAAGTCTTCCTGGAGTTGCAAGTGCCTATCTCCTAGACAAGGCAATTACTCACCAACTAAAATCACTGTCAATCTGAGATTTCGGCTGGGCATGAGACCATGGTCAGGGGATGCTTTGAACAGCCTCTGAGGAAATTAGTGAGTTTGAAAAATGGAAAGATTTTTATTACTCACTTGGCAGTAAAACCTGATGGGGACAGACGTCAGGCTGTTTAAGATCCTCAGAAGAAAAAGTTGATAGTGTGAATATTCCTAAATTTGCCACACGAAGATGTACATGTGATTATAAGGTGCTGTTGCAGAAGCCCCTGGGGGTGTTATGGGATATACACTATATGGGCCACTTTACCTTCCTAAAATCTGAAAAACTTCAACTACTGAAACATGGACTGAAGGTTTTGAATAGTGGATGGTGAATTTGAATACCATCCCGTGTGATTTTTTTTTCTAGCAGACTTTAGTTTTTTAGAGCAGTTTTAAGCCCACACCAAAACTGAGAGGAAGATACAGCAATTTCTCATATACCCCCTACTACCTTCCAGTCTCCCCCATTATTGACATCCCCCACCCAGAGTGGTCCATTTCTTACAACCCACGAACCTACATTGACACATCATTATTACTCAACGTCCATAGTTTACATTAGGGTTGGCTCTTGGTGTTGTACATTCTATGGGTTTAGACAATTTTCAGGAGTTTCACTGACCTGAAAATCCTCTGTGTCCCTCCTATTCACCCCTCCTTCCCTCCTAACCACTGGTAACCACCGATCCTATTCCCATCTTCTCCATAGTTTTGCCTTTCCCACCCAGGATGTCATATAGTGGAATCATTCAGTATGTGGCCTTTCCAGATTAGCCTCTTTCACTTAGTAATGTGCATTTAAGTTTCCTCCATGTCTTTTCATGATCGCTCATTTCTTTTTTATTGCTAAATACTATGCCACTGTCTGGATGTGTCACAGTTTATTTATTCACCTACTGAAGGACATCTTGCTTGTTTCCAAGTTGTGGCAATTGCGAATTAAGCTGCTACAGACACCCATGTGTGGGTTTTTGTGTGGACATGTTTACCCCACACAATTTTTAAAGTTGCTCAATGATCAGAGATGTTCTGAGTGACTCTGATAGACCCACAAACATGTCAGTGACTCTATCCCTTCAAGAGAGTAAGGGTCTCAGGGCCCACACCCCTGAACTTGAGTAACCTCATTCTTCTGTTAAGTTAGCTGGAGCCAGGAGAGGAGTTTATGACTAAGTCCTCAAAAGCCAACACAACAGAAACAAAAATTGAAAACTGGCACTAAGTAAACTAAAGAGCTTCTGCACAGCAAAAGAAACTACCAACAGAGGAAACAGATGAACTAAAGAATGGGAGAAAATATTAGTAACTATGCATCCAACAAAGGTCTAGGATCTAGAATCCATAAGGAACTTAAACAAATCAACAAGTAAAAACAACCCCATTAAAAAGTGGGCAAAGGACATGAACAGACACCTCTCAAAAGAAGACACACAAGCGGCCAACAAATTTGAAAAAATGTTCAACATCACTAATGATCAGAGAGATGAAAATCAAAACCACAGTGAGATACCATCTCACACCAGTCAGAATGCCTGCTATTAAAAAATCAAAGGAACAAAAGATGCTGGTGAGGCTGAGGAGAAAAGGAAACACACACACTGTTGCTGGGATTGTAAATTAGTTCAGCCCCTGTATAAAGCAGTTTGGAGATTTCTCAAAGAACAAAAAAACAGCATTACCATTGACCCAGCAATCCCATTACTGCATATACACCCAGAGGAAAATAAACCATTCTACCAAAAAGACACATGCACTCATATGTTTACCACAGCACTATTCACAATAGCAAAGACATGGAATCAACCTAGGTGTCTATCAGTGGTGGACTGGATACAGAAAATGTAGATATACACCATGGAATACTATGCAGCTATAACAAAGAATGAAATCATGTCATTTGCAGCAACATACATACAGCCAGAGGCCATTACCCTAAACAAATTAATGCAGGAACAGAAAACCAAACACCACATGTTCTCACTTATAAGGGGGAGCTAAACACTAGGTACACATTGGGCCATAAATATAGGAACAACAGACACTGGAGACTCTAAAAAGGGGAGGAAAAGAGAAGGTCAAGGGTTGGAAAATTATCTACTCGCTACTATGTTCACTATTTGGGTGACGAGTTCCACTGAAGCCCAAATCTCAGCATCACACAATATATTCATGTAACAAACCTGCATATGTACACCCTGCAGCTAAAATGAAAAACAGAAAGTTACGTGGAGTGAGTGTCATCCTTCGAGGCTTGATTCTATGTTTTGTGAGGTGGCTTCAGAGCAGCCCTTTACATCGGGTTAATTTGGCTCCACCGCAGGGGCCATACCCCCACCCTCCACGTCTTTCCACTCTGGACACACTTTTCCCAGGCCCGTTTTGCTCTGGGGCTTTTTTCTACCTGCTCCTTTCTGGGGATTCTTTCCTTGGCCTTGACAACCTCTTTACACAGGCGGGCTGGTCAATACCCAGCTCCAAAAGCAAAGCGACGCTCCACAGACCTGTCTCCTCTCCGTTACTCTGCACCCCCAGTTCCAGCCTCTTCAGTGTCCCCAAACTCCACACCGCCTCCTCTCAGGGAATGGGCTGGGCTCTGGATGCTCCTGTGCATCCAGAGACCCTCCATGCTAGACGCTGGGCCATCGCAGGACCCCCACCTGCCCCTTCTCTCTAGGACCCTGCACTGCCGGCATCCGACACTGAGCAGCGCTGTTTCACACAGTATCGATTTTCAGTTGTTCAGGATGGGAGGGTCAATCAGGTCCCAACATGCCATCAAGCTGGATTACACAAGAGATTTAAACAGTCAGAATGCCACTCTGAATTTCGCTCTGTTGTCCAGGCTAGAGCGCAATGGTGCGATCTCTGCTCACCGCAATCTCCACCTACCGCATTCAAGCAATCCTCCTGCCTCAGCCTCCCAAGTAGCTGGGAATACAAGTGCCCGCCACCATGCCCAGCTAATTTTTGTATTTTTAGTAGAGACAGGGTTTCGCCATATTGGCCAGGCTGGTCTCAAAACTCCTGACCTGAGGTGATCCGCTCACCTTGGCCTCCCAAAGTGCTGGGATTACAGGTGTGAGCCACACCGCACCCGGCCAATAATACATTTTAGTTCAAGATTAGTGAGAGCTAAGGAGAAATGAGAATGCTGATTGTTCTGAAATTCAGTCTCCACATGAAAACCAGCTGAGGGTTGAGTGGAAAATGGAGAAACTTTCGCAATCAAATGAAGGTAACACTTCCTTCACTCAACAATTTACAGATGTTCACAGCCATCCAACACGAAGCTTAGTGGCTGATCAAAAGTAGCAGGATATTTTCAGGGTAAAAACTGAGACTCACGGGCAGCACCAAGAATGTCTGCACATCTCAAAAGACAGACAGCGTTTCCTTTAGGGCGCTGAGGCTGAGGTCTTACACAGAGAGGAGGATTGCCAACTGGCAAAGCCCTGCTTTTCACCAACTGCTCGAACGGACTGGACTGCCTGGCTGCTGATAGGGAGGGAGAGATCCACCAGATCTATTCAGATGCCATGAACAGAGAAAATAACACTGCCTTCAAACGGGGACCCCTAACAGATCTTGCTTAAGAATCTAACAGTTCAGCATCTGCAGTTGATCACTGCTTTTGAGTTCTGAGACATGAACACACCATGGAGGTGTCCACGTTGTCAATGACTCAGCCATGCTGGCTCCAATTACTGCACCACCAGTGCTGTTGCTGCTGTTAGAGTGACATCTAGACCCCAGTACCAGAGAGCTTCATGGTTGTTTCAAAAGGGCCCCGCAAAGGAAAATCAGCCCTTACCTCCTGCACTACAGAGTTCCTGAGTGACCCTGCTTTTATTCCATCACTAGGATCATTAAGCCATGGCAGCACAGCTTGGTGACTGTGCGGTTCTCATATGGGCAACTCCATATAGCAGTTCTAGGGAGCTGCGAGGAATTACCAAAAAAGACCCCAGATGAGAGATTGGGGAGTTCATCTACAGAAGTTCCAAATCCTTTTTTTCTTTCTCTCCTTCCTGGACACACAGCTAAAACTACAGTTCCAGGCCCCACGTGCCTGAGCGCCACACACTGGAGTGAGGGGGAAGGATTTTGTGCTCACCCAAACTGGGGCCAGAGCCACACCCTGGGCGCCCCCATCACACTCTTCTCCCTTTCTGGTAGGTTGCAGTGGAGGGGGAGTGGGCTGAATGGTGGCCTTCAAAAAGATATGTCCACATCCCATCCCCTGGAGCCTGTGAATGTGAACACATTTGGAAAAGGGTCCTTGCAGATGCAATTAAGCAAGGAATCTCAAGATGCGATCATCCTGGATTAACCAGGTGAGTCCTGAATCTGATGACAGTATCTCTATCAGTCAGAAAGGGAGAAGGCCACGTGAAGACGGAGGCAGAGACTGGGGTGATGCTGCCGTAGCCAAGGAACACCTCCAGCCACAGGACGCTGGAGGAGGCGAGGAATCTCCCCTAGAGCCTTCAGGGGGAGCACGGCCCGGCTGACGCCATGAGTTTAGACTTTTCAAAACTGTGAGAGAATGCACTTCTGTTGTTTCCAGCTACCACACTTGTGGTAATTTGTTACGGCAGCCCTAGAAATGAATGCAGGAGGTTCCTCCAGGGTGAACTTGGAAGCCATAGGATGGAGATGGCTGACTTCCAGTCAGCCTGAGTCCCCGAATGACCTACTCATGGCCTCCCCAGCAGCATTATAGTAGAACAAAAAAAACTTCTCCTGTGGCTGACACCCACTTTTGAGTCTGTATATTAGAAAAATTGAAACTAATGACAGGTTTACAGTATGTAAGTATTATTTCATCTTTAAGCTTTATTCAATAGTAATTTCTCCAAAGCAAAGCAAATAAAACACATACCAAAGAAAGGAGAGATGTTCTGGGGGAACCATGGACAAAGGCTCTGAAGCCTTTCACTTTACTTAAAGATTCTTGTCTCTTTCCTTTTTCTTTTTTTCTTTGAGACGGAGTCTCACACTGTTGCCCAGGGTAGGGTGCAGTGGCATGATCTTGGCTCACTGCAACCTCTGCCTCCCAGGTTCAAGTGATTCTCCCGCCTCAGCCTCCTGAGTAGCTGGGACTACAGGCACGTGCTGCCATGACCAGCTAATTTTTTATTTTTAGTAGAGACGGGGTTCCACCACGTTGGCCAGGCTGGTCTCGAACTCCTGACCTCAGGTGATCCGCCCACCTCGGCCTCCCAAAGTGCTGGGATTACAGGCGTGTTTCTTAGAAATAGGTGTTATGGCATCAGGGCTGTCACTGAGAAAGGCAGTGTGCTGAGTCCAGGGCCAGCCTGGGGCTTGACAGGGTCAAAGAAATCAACAACTTGCGTTCCAATTCTTGACTGTCAACTTTGTTGTAGTGCTGATTTTAGGGATGAAGAATTATGTAACAATTAGTAAACCAGGCTCTGGAATTATCTTGCTTGGGTTTCAACCCTACTTATTAGTTATCTTGATGACCTAAGCTGTCCGTTTCCTCATCTGTAAAATGAGAATAATAATGCTGGAGTTGGATGGGCTGTTAAGTCATAACCCTCTCCTCCTATGTTCTAAAATAAATGAGAAGGGCAGAGCACTCAGGGAGATGGGGACAAACATTTGGGGTCTATTGATGAAGGCTGGAGTGGAGGAAGTAGTTTACCTCCATGTGGCTACTGAGGTAGCTTTGCACTGGATCGGCTTAGCGAGGCTGGACCTGTGTTCCCCACGACTCCCTTCCTGGGATGGTTTGAGGTTGGCCTTGGTCACAGGAAACAGCTGCAGGAGGTGGGGTGGGGTGGCTGCATGCTGATATGCAGCAGGCTGCTGCAGCCCAGGCTCCACTGCAGCTCTTGCATATTGACTCAGAGCTGCAGGCTCTCCTGCTGGCTTGGGGCGGGAGGCAGGCATGCAACTCCTCCAGCTCCTGCTGGGTCTCTTCCTTCAGCTTCCCTGAATGCTGGGCCAAGTGCATGTGCAGCTTCCTCTGCACATCACCCCATCACTGAAATGGGGAGACCAGGAGGCAGCAAGAGCCAGATGCGGGCTCCATTTATCCCCACGGGTTCCAGTTCATTCTCTCTCCCCCACTGCACGCCCGTCTTTCCTTCCGCTGGCCCCCTGCTGATGGTACCCCACCCTACCACAGCCCTGCCAGGTGAGCCGGCTCCCACACCAGGGAGGTCAAGCCCTGAGAAGAAATCCCTTCTCTGTCTCTCTCCCATGGTTCTGTCACTGACCAAATTTCCCAACAGTGAACTCCAGAACTGGACACTTCCCCCTCCAGGGGCAGGGCCTCCAGTCCTAAGCCCAAAGCAGATGCTCTCTACACAGGGCGCCACTGTCCAGTGTCTGTTACCTGCAAACAGAAAGTGCAAGCCCCTCTTTGTGGCAGGCTGGGGGCTGCGTGGAAGCCCCTGGGGCTCCACACACACCTGGCTCTTGGTGCTTTCACCACTGGGGTTTCCTCTGACTTCTCTAGCCCTCCTCATCCCGGTCTGTGCTAAAAAACTCAAGCCTGCTAACTACAGGACCTGCTCTCATTCCCTACCATTTACTTCCTCTCCCCAGGGCTAACCTTTGAACAAAGAAGGGACTGAGATGCACGGGAATGCAAGACTAAGGACTCAACATAGCTGCTTCCAGCTCCTCATCAGGCTGGGAGGGCCCAAGCCACAGCTAGGCGGGGGCTGCACGGCACTCCATGCTGCCTATGTGAGTTCAACCAACCAACCAGTCTTGGAGTGCCTCTCCCCAGTGCTTCCATCTCTTCTTCTCAGGGCAGTCTTCTTTCCTTCTACCCACATCAGCTTGCCAGGAAGGGCCTGCCGACTCCTAAGGAAGGTGTTACCCCTCCAAGGAAAGGAACTTCCACACATCGAAAGAAAGGGTCAGTGCTGGCCAGGACCCTTCCCATCAGTGCTAAGAGGAGCATCCGCCTGGAAGGGAATGTGTGTCATTACAGGGCATGAGTGACGAGGAGTGCTTCCCTGGTGGGGAATTCCCAAAGAAAACGAGCACACACTCATGGGAGACACTTCTTTTATTTAGGAAGGAGGTCTTTCCTACTGGCGCCGGCTCCTGCCAGAGGTCGGGGTGACAGCAGGATCAGAAGCACTGCTCTCACACACAGTGGGAGTGGAGGATGGCTTCCCGCAGCCTCTTTAGAAAGCCCAGGAGTTCTCTTTATTTCAGAGAAGGGCATTTCTATACAAGACATCATTCCATTACAGTCGTCACTTCCAACTACAGGCTCAGGGAGACGACTCTTGATATTCATAGGTATATATTTACTTTAATCATATTTTAGAAATCAGCTCTTCCACACTAAGATTTACAATAAAAATAAAATAATTTGTTCTGTAAACTATAGTAGAAAGTTTCAAATGTCTTAAAAACTATCTTCCATACAATGGAAAAAGGCTTTTGTGTTCTTTTGGGCAAAGAAGACCCAAATACGCTGAGAGAAGACGCATGGGCGTGTTGCTGGAGTGATGCTGGAAGCACTTCTTTGCTACAGACGGTTGCTAAGAGAACAGAGTCACTTTCTCCCCTTCAGCCTGGAAGTCCAACTCTTCTCTTGCTTAAGAATCTAACCTCGGGATCTTCCAAGATGCTTAAGGCTGCTCTGCTGTTGCCTGGTC
This sequence comes from Homo sapiens, assembly GCF_000001405.40. Taxonomy (NCBI): domain Eukaryota; kingdom Metazoa; phylum Chordata; class Mammalia; order Primates; family Hominidae; genus Homo; species Homo sapiens. Next base: position 230,693,366 of record NC_000001.11, on the reverse strand, counting down.
CTTGGCAGCAGCAACAAGCTCTGCGAGAGCTGAGAAGCTTTTTATGTCACTTGCTTGTAGTCCCAACTTTTGTATCTGCAAAGGCCATGAGAATGAATTATGTTACTGCAATTCAAGCTGAATATGGGGGGGGAAAAAAAAGAAAGAAAATCTTCATCCTCTACTAAACCAGAAGACAGTTCCCTGAAGACTTGTAGGATATTTTTTCCTCTAGAGCAAAGGATTTACTTGTTGTAAAATGTGAGGATTTTGGGGTCAAACACTTAGCATTCTAAGAAGCCAGTATGTTAATTTATCTCAGTTCATCAAATCAGACAGAATAAAAGCCTCTTTTGTGGGCCTAAAAACATTCTAGAAAAGAAAATCCACACTAGAGGAAATAAAAAAGTGAACTTTTAAGTAGAGAATTTTCAAAAAAGTACTGGTCTGTGCTCTTAGTTTCTTAACATATTGCCAAAAACCTTTTAGAATCAGATGAGTTGAAAACACTTTGTTTGGCAAAGCAACTACCGTGGATTATTTTGGTCACCGAGACATGGCACACTACGTTCCCACTTTTGTTTAAAAACGACAATAACAACACACACACACGTATACATCCATACACGCACACACACACACGCACCACACACACGCACAGAGAAAGATCCGGGAAGATACACACCAAGTCTCTGTCAGCATTTTGTGGTTTGTTCTGGGGACCGAGACTGCGGGAGCACCTTTTCCTTCCCCTCTCTTTCCTTTTAGTTCCCTATCCCACTCTCCTTCCTTCCTTCCCTTTCTTTTGCTCATTGGCTCTTCACGTTTCTATAACATACTTTCTTGCTTGTAAAAAGTCTTTGGGTTTTTTTGCCAAATAAAGAAACATGGCAGTTGACTTTTACCGGGATATATCTCTAAATTCATCTCAAAGCAGAAAAAAGTTGAATTTTCAGTGATGATCATGATGTGTAAAAGAAATTCCTTAGTGAGCTAGAAAATCAAGTGTCTTGTTTTGACTGCTTTTTTTTTTTTCTTTTTCTATTAACATTGTATCAGTTCTCCAAAACACCACCAAGTGTCCTCTTGTGGAAACTTTATGATTTCACTTTTTTTCCCTGTGGAAAGGCCTCCCTTGAGGACCTACTACTATGTGCGACGCTTTAACAGTTTAGAAGGCCAGTTTCTGAACATCTAGAGGTTTTATGATACTGTCCTCACAGTATCATAAAATTTCATTTTATGGTGAAATTTCATTTTCACCTCAGTGAAAAATGAAAAGACATTCATTGCACCTTATCCATATCACCTCTTAAGTGATAATATCCACATTACCATTCAACTACGTGCCATGATTCTAAAATTTGTGTTTTATAGGAAAGCTACAAAGGCCAAGCAGGGAAGCAGAGAAGTTATGCTCAAAGGATTTCTCATGCACCATAGAGGGGTAATGCTTTCAGTTATTTTAAGCTAAACCAGCAAGCATTTCAAAAGCCTGGGGTTCGCACCAATTAAGTATCAGGCACTGGACCAAAAAGTCTCACTGTAGTGAGCTCCGTGAGCATGGGCACTGGGGAAACAAGCAGATGGCAACAGCACCAGAGAGCACGCCACCAGACTTCAAAACGGGAATTCTCATATTGCCGTCTCATACTGCCTAGGGGCAAAGTAATTTGGGAGCCCCGACTCCTAGTCTTAACACAGGAAGCAATTCCCTAGCCACTGCGACAGCATCTCTGGGATCACGCGAGCCACCAAGTAACTGCCCGGCTCTCAGAATTTGGTTTCAGGCTCGCTGGAGCTGCCGGCGGCTGATGGGTTACCTGCTCTCCCAAGTACTCAACATCTAGGGCCAACTGCAGCCTGATTTTGTCGTCGTCGCTCATGCCACCACTGGGACCGACGGGGTTGGCGGGAGTGGTTTTTCTGGCTTGTTTCAGCCTTTTCAGGCTCTCTTCCATCTTCTTCACAGAGTTTAATACATCTGACACGGTTTCATAGTACCTTGAATAGAAGACACGTTTATTGGTGAAAAGAGGCATTTGTGTGTAACACCAAATAGAGTAACTGGCTTTGTGGACCAAAAAAAGAGATTTTTAAGATAAAAATTCACTTCCAACGAAAATTCAACCACGGTAAGTATTTAAGTTTCTTAAGATCATTTTATATATATATGTGTATATATATACATGTATATACGTATATATATATACACACACACACATATGGTCTTAAGTGTCTAACATAGCATTCCCTCAGAATTTAAGAAATATGTGTGTGTGTGGATTTTGCTTAAATTTTTAATCCTGAACATGGAGAAAACTATAGACCAATTTTGTCTTTCATGTATCGAGGGTGGACATCTGTAGTTCATGCCCCAGATCAAGTAACAAGTTCATTTCCAATCAGTTCTAGGAACAGTTCATCTTTTAGAGTGTAAAAGTATTTCAGAATTTTAAATAAAGCTCATTGCCTTCAAAATACTTGCAATATAATTTTCAAATTATAAATGAGTTATATTTCAAAGCTTTGTCTACAAGCTGGTTACTTGGCATCTGAAATACATTTGCCCACAAAAACTGTATTATACATCATTGTTATGTTCTAAATTAACCCATAAATGGCCACTTAAATCTTAAGTAAATAAAATATTACTGCAAAATTAATATTTAATAATTAAACAAAATTGGTAACAAAATTGAGTAACACACTTTTTGATTTGGGAAAAGCAAATTTCATTAGAAAAAGACAATCAAGTGTTTTAGAGGTTTTAGGAATCGAGTCCTTGTCAGCTGTAATTACTTTTAAATGTATGTTTTCTCTTCCTTGATTACAAGGGTTTCACCAACCTAAGTCCTTTGAGTATCTGTTATGATTAGAGCCACTTTGGACTGACAGGGTCTGAGTAACGAAAGGGCCTCCCAGAAGAATGTGGCTGGACCTGGGAGAACGGCACCTGCAGGGAACGCAGGCAGGGCCTGGAGATGCGGGGGCACTGTGCACATGGCCCGGCCCCGAGGCTGAAGCCCAGGCAGAGGAAGCCAGCCCACAGGCCGTCCACAAGGGTGTGGGGAGGGAGGAAGCAAACAGTGGGACACACACTCTGACTAATCCAGTGAAGAAGTGCTAGGCAGTCTCACTGCCTTATCCATACGCAGTGCTTGATTGCCTTGGGGGTTTCTGCCGCAGACTCTTCTAAGCAAGGCCCACAAGGTCTGCTTTTAATTTACTTACTTATGAGTGCTTTCACTGAGAGTGCCTTCTAGCCACTGCTGAATTATTGCTTGTTTGAGCTTATCCTTGTGTCCGCTCTGAAGCTGGAATAAGGGCTTCAGAGCACTGTCCACATAGGAGGAAGCTGTGGTTGGGACCTCCTGGAATGATGATGGTAGGAGATAAAGATGCACAGGAAAAAAACAGAAAAGAAACAGTAAGTTACCCAGAACTCAAGTCCAAAAGGATACTATTAACGTTCTAGTTTTGAGACACGGACAACTTCCATCCCTCCCAAAAGTAACACTGGGGTCCACAGAAAGCTGCCTGGAGAACATGAGGGAATAAGAAGAGCCAGCACAAGAAGGTGATGTCTGGAGCCAGACTGGGTTGAGGTGCTGGCTGGCACAGCCACCCACCGCTCAGGGCACCGAAACTAGGGCACTGCTTCCCGTGGCCTCACGTCCACACCAATCACCTGGTGATCTCGTAAAACTCAGGTTCTAATTCTGTTGGGGGCAGTGGGTGGAAGGGTTGAGTTCTGGGATTGTGCTTTTCTAGCAAGCTCCCACCCACAAGGTGATGTGAATGCTGCTGATCACTAGACCACTGTTTGAGAAGCAAGGATACAGGGTCAGGAATGTAACCTTTCTTAGCTCTGGTTTCTTCATCTGCAAATGACAATACTAGCACCCATTTTGTAGGAGGATAATAAGACTATGCAAAGTGTCTAGCAGAGTGAATGACCCATAACAAACTCTCAGTAAATGTATTACTGTAACAGCCTATTGAATAGAAAGGGAGAGTTGGTAGATTACTAAAGAAAAATAACATATTGGTTTCTCTCTCCCACTTCCAAGTGGCAGCTTCAAATCAGACAATAATTATTGAGCAAATATAAAATGGCATAATATTTGCATATAACCTATGCACATCCTTCAGTATAGTTTAAATCATCTTTAGATTACTAAAATTTATATTTTTTTTAATAAAAACTTTTTTTGTGTGTGGAGACTGGATGTCACGACATTGCCCAGGCTGGTCTCAAACTCCTAGGTTTAAGCAATCCTCCTGCCTCGGCTTCCCAAAATGCTGGGATTTTGGTGTGAGCCACCACATTTGGCATGTATTATTTTTTATTGTTGTAGTTTTTTTTCCCCCTAAATATTTTCGATCCACAGTTGGTTGACTCTGTGGATGCAGAACCTGGGGATAAGGGGCCAACTATGCTTCCAGTAACAATAAAGAGGGAACAAGATATAAAGTGTGGAATACCTGATATGGAGACAAAAACGTATAGGACTTTAAAATGTTATTAAAATGCTTTCTTCTGAAAAACCTACTTTTCCTCAAGACCAAAAGGAAACTGAGTATATCCTTAAATACTTTTAGGATAGGATGGGAAAGGTCTAACTATTTCAGTTTGTGGCCCAGAGCCCCTGACCACCCCTGCCCAACCTCCCTCTCTTCATCAATACCATTCTCAGAATGGGATGAGCTCAGTCTGTCTCAGGCTACCCTGGGAATCCGCCGCTTCCTTCCTTCCTTCCTCTTTGGCTTTCCTAACACACACTTCCCCACCTCAAAATTCTCTCCCATAAATGGCGCTGACCTTATTGGTTCTTCGGTAAAGCCTGGGAACCTCCAGGGCGCTTTTTAGGAAACCGAAGCAAGAGTCACTTAAATCCTGGATGATCTTGCTACTCAAGGAGGGCACACAGGCTGAAAAAGAGCTCTGGGAGTCCTCCAGGGCTGCTGTTGAGATTAAAGACTGGATTTAATCATCATGCTCAGGCCCAGACATGAACTTCATTTGAAATACTGTCACAGCATTTACATTGTGTACTATAATAAATCAGATCAAATGAATTAAATAAAACATCTTATTTAGGTAAGTTATAATACAGAATAGAGAAACAACCAAGGATTTACAACTACAGAAGAAAATGTTAAATATACCCTACAGTCTCTGAGATTTTATTTTAAATCATTTCTTATTCAAAGATTTGCTTAGTCAAGATTCATTTTTACCTGAGATAGAAGAAAAATTCTTAAAGCCAATCATTTCAAGTTTTGGCTTGATTATTTCCAAGAGTTCTGGAAGCTGAAATAAATATGCACTTTATATATTCAGTTACTTTTTATAAATCAAAGGAAGAGGCAATTCTATTTGCATCTACAAACTCTAGAATTTGCTAATGAATGGTGAACTTAAAATCAGGAATTTCAGTAATTTTCATCAAAGGAAAGAAACAGTTTTAATGCTTTTACTATAAAAAGATTTCAACAACATGAGAAATCACATGGTTTAATGGCTATTAACAGGCACAGAGAATAAGCAAAAACATTTTCTACTCTATGGCGCTCCATAATACGAAAATAGCTCACAGTAAAGACCATATTCTTACTGAAAACATACAAATTTTAAAATTCAAAACAGTATTTATTCAAGCACCACAAAATATCTAAACTTGAGGAAAGCAGAATTGTGTATCAGAGGACTTAACCACTAAATTCACCCCACAGAGTTGATGTTACAAGCAAAAACATACGGATCTATACAGAGAAAAAAGAGGAAGAAGTTTTAATATTTTAGCACTTTCAAAGTATAGCTGAAGATTAAACATCAACAGAAAATATCGGGGTAAATTAATGTAAAGTAACTAAAATCCAGCCCACTAAAGATCATGCCTGACCAGAATAAGGTGAGCTAATGGGAAAAAAAAAGTGGGGGAGCATGGCTGCTCAAGCTTGTCCCATCACTACTGAAAAGGAAGCAGGGTGGAGGTGAATACAATACAGAATGCACTCCACACAGGAGGAGAAGTGCACACCCTTAGAAACCCTATATGGACATGACCTGTCAGGGGAAGCTGGAGAGACACCTAGAAAGGGAGGTGAGTGAGAGGTTCTCTCTTGGGGTACCCACGGGTCCCCCAATTTAAGCCCCGTAAGGCCCAGTGGTGTTTGCCTTTTACACATACTACCTTCTGTGAAAACATTAAACCAAGCACCTGGAATTATTCTGGGACACAGGCTTACCTGCTCCTGAAGCTTGTCCAGGTCTGCAACCACATACACGAGCTGAGTGCGGGAAATGGAAACCACAGGCTTTGTTTCCGAAGGACCACTTCCTTGGTCTTCAGTGTTTCCTTGGGTGATGGAAGGTTCTTTGCTACCAGTTACCAAAGGTTTCTTGATCTCCTTGGGACTTTCATTAGAAATGGGCCTGAGTGAAAGCTGAAAAAGGATTTCACTGATTAACTACTTTCACACTAGCAAGATACATGAGCATTTATATATTACATATGTGCGCGTCAATAACTCACCATTAAATGCTAGCTGTCTACATAGCATTTAGTAAAAACTTACTAATAAAAGTATACAATATTGTATCTACAGGAAGGAGTGAAGCACTAAGAGAGAAACAAGGACAAACTACGGCCCCAGGTACATTTACCTTCTGGAACTTGTCTAATTTCTGGTGATAAAAATAACGTGAAAAATAAAGTGCCCAAACCACAATAAAATTAATTTTGGGGACATCACAGGTTTTAAAAAAATCAATTATATTAGGCAAATAACATAGCGTAATACATTTGTAATTATAATTAACAAGGGTAAAATATCAAAATCCAAACCTTCAAATACAAAAAACAAAGTGTTCTTTGTGTCACATTGTTTATAAGGGAAAAAAATCAAAGAGAAGTAAGCTAGCATCAAGAAAAGAATGGGATAGAATGGGATAATGAACATTCAGGGCAAAGTGATCTACTAGAGATAAACGGAGAATTCCTGGCTAGCAAGAACGCATGCTTAGCCTAATTGAATAATCGTCCTAACCCCACTCTGTCAGGGGAATCATACAGTGGTCTTCAGAAACAGCTGACAGCCCAGGGTGGTCCACTAAGACCCTTCTGAGCGGAGGAAAGGCAAAAGGGAAACACAAACTAGATTTCACTAGACTCCCATTACCTGACAGGAGCTTTAGTCCAAATAAATCCTCACAACAGCCACATATAGAAGCTGTTTTCCCATTCTCCAGATGAAGACTCAGCTTAATTTCTCCAGGTCCACAGAATTAAAAAGTTAAAGAGCCAACGTTTGACATTAGCTCCAAAGCTGACACTCTTTCCATTAAAATACACTGCAAGAGGATGACTGGGATCCTTTCCTACTCCAAATTACAAAGATTTTACTCAAAGTGTGCTGTTTTCTCCCTGTTGTCTTTTTTATTTTTTAGAACACATCTCCTTTGCATACTCCTCACACTGCGATGACTGGTTTACCTGAGTGTCTGTTACTCACGCTGTCCCCAGAGAAAGGGCAGCACTGCAATCCGAGGTCCCAGCAAGGACCCGCCGGGCTGGTGCTCAGCACAGGACTGGACCAACGCCCTTGTGGATCAAGAATTTCTGGGTTTTTGTAGGGTATTAATAAGTCATCAGAGCATGTGGATATTTAATATATTTGATTATTTGAAAAGGGAAAAGGATATTCAAAAAAAGAATTTTAATACCTTTTTATGTTGATGACAATATCATTTTGTAAACTTCCAAATATTAAGTATTAAAATGCATATATTTTTATTTCTAATCATTTTCATAATCACCTTGAAATTAAAATGAACATCTTTTTCTTTTTTTAAATTTGGAGGCAGTTCAAAGATTCTGGTTTTGAGAAGGAAAAAAATGGACTTGCCAGAGTGGTGCTTTTCAACAAAATAAGTTTGTGATAATAGACACCCCTAAATGCAATGCTCGCAGGAGTAAAAATGAAACACAGACACAGAGCTGGAGACAATCTTGGGAAGTCAGACTACTGTGGTCCTCTGAATTAACCTCTCATGGTATTTACAAAAATCTTAGGGAGTTAGCCTAACATATCTTTAATTTTTATCAGTATTGATTATGGATGAGCTCCACAGCCAGCCCTTACCTCATTGACAAACACAGAGTATCGTGCCAAAATCTGCAGAGTGAGTCTCCACAGGCGATGCACCAGTAATGGCAAGAACATCTCATCTGACCAACACCTCCTAAGGCTGCTCCAAGTTCTATGAGAAGCCAAAAGGCAATACGGACTTTCAGCTAGAGAAAAAACAACAACAACACACATTTAAGGAATTTCAGGCAATTTTAGGCTATAGTCTAATGTGAGACTTCCGATGTACGATTCAAAGGTAAAGAAAATGGCCTTCTGAAGAAAACCATGTGGTCAGCAAAGCTGTTGGAGGCACAGGGATGACGAGTGGCCACAATCCAAGTTCCCTACCACATCCTTCATGCCACGCACAATTTTACATGACACTATCTCCCAGGTGTTTGGATAAACATCAAATACATATAGCATTCAGAAATAACGTTTAATAGGTACTTCATACCAAATCGACAAACATGGGCTGGAGTGGCAATCACTTGCAGAGGTTTAAACTTCAGTTTCAAATTTGTCCTATTTCACAAGAGTCTTCCTCTATCTCAACATACTTCTTATTTTTATAGAAGAAGTTAACTACATATGACCATTTTTGGCAAAGACAGATGAAAACTAACTCTGAGGCTAAAATTGATTCAAAATGACAGTAGACTTAGCTGTATAAAAGAGAGTGGAAATTTAAGTTGAGGAACCTAGATATCAGCACACAGTATTTCAGTGGTCACTAGGAATAAATATATGATACAAAAATTAATGAGGCTGAAAGGGTATGTCAACATGTACTGGTAAGTCCACATACCTACAACTGTTACCTGCCCAACATCCTAGGATGGGCGGCCAGGGCACAGGAGGCCCAGGATGCATGCTCCAGCTGTGAGTCATTCTCAGTGAGACGCAGGAGCACCTGACCCTCTACCATGCAGACCAGTCCTCAGCCTGGGAGGAAGGCAGATCACAGCCAATTTGCTAAAAAAAACCAGCTGTTCACATAAGCACACCAAGGGGCCATATCCCCTGGACAAGTTATATTCAGGAATGAAAATGAGGTCTGTTTCCTATATTCTTATTCATTTTTCATCTCTATAAAGCAAGAACTCTATACACCAAAACTATTTGGTTTATTTTTACCTTATTAAAAAAAGAAGTCAGGCTGGGTGTGGTGGCTCATGCCTGTAATCCCAGCACTCTGGAAGGCCAAGGGGGGGTGAATCACTTGAGGTCAGAGTTCGAGACCAGCCTGGCCAACATGGTGAAACCCTGTCTCTGCTAAAAATAAAAAAATTAACTAGGCGTGGTGGTGTACACCTGTAATCCCAGCTACTTTCGAGGCTAAGCCAGGAGAATAGCTTGAACCTGGGAGGCGGGGGCTGCAGTGAGCCAAGATCATGCCATTGCACTCCAGCCTGGGCAACACAGCGAGACTCCATCTCAAAAAAAAAGCAAAAAAAAGAAGTCAAACTAAGTGATTTTTAAGGTCCAACTTACTGTATGATTAAAAAAAAAAAACAGTAAAAGTACGCTCAGAATACTGCAATCCAGATGACTTGGTGAACTGAATGAACTCATTTAGGATACCATGCCACTTATCACTTTAAGGGAGTTACCTGGGGCATCTTCCAGGACATCTGTAAGTGCTGCTTCTAAGGATCCCGCTATTTCTCTAAATCTGAGATAAAAACAAGAAGAAGAATTAATGTTTATGACTCTGACAGATGCCTTTCCCTATCCATTCTCTGTTTTTCCTAAGTAACAGGAACTTCCTCTGTCACTCACTGGTAAGTCCAGCCTCGGAATGCCTATTCTCCCAGGCTTTTTTTTTTTTTTTTTTTTAACTGAACAAGAAATCGTGACTAAGCCACTGTTATATAAGGGTTCTCTGTTATTTGCAGCTGGTCTGAATCATAACTTACCCCATGTTTCTCAAATTAAACAAACTGCCAGTTAAGTCTCCATCAAGAAGTTGTTGCTGGTGAGCAGCACCTGATTATGATCCTCTATTCACTTCAAGGCCATAAAACTTTGGTTCCTCCAACCCATCTATCTTAACACCATCACAGGAAGGTAAACGTCCCCAAGCTAAGAAAGCTGCATTCTGTACCTGTGTTGGCAGCTTGAGAAAAATCACAGGAAGTGGCCAGTTAAAACTAGAACTCACTGCTTGGTGCTCTTCTAATCTGTGACCCTCTCCCACGTCCATGGTACTTGCCCTTCGGGTTCTACGGCTGTCTGTACCAGCGCTTCCTAGATGTGCGTTCTTTTTTCCCTGATGACAGCTGGCTCACCTGGCACCTCAGCTCATCCTGTCACAGACTTCTGTTCTAATAATGGATATGGACATGTTTTTATGACTTTGTGAAAGGCAAATGTGTTATATAGTTTTTTTAAGCTAGCTGCTTTTGCAGGCATTGTTTTCTAACTATATAACTCTTGCAATTTCATATATCTCTTTACTAGCATGCTCTTTTGTCACCTGCTAATTGCCTTACTAGTAATGAATTCTGATGCATGCTCAATATCAATTTATCCAACTGATATTAAATTATTTTTTATAGTACATAATGTGCTTTTACAAAGCGGTTCACAGACTGAGCTAAAGGCAACTGTCTGAAGAGTAAAAAGAACAGCTTGAGACAAAAAGCAGCAGCCCTACCCAACACAGCTGAGCACTGAAGACACTAAGGCTATCCTGTACCATTGTAGCTGGCTGGTTTCCAGTAGCTGTCCCGTCTGCCCCATGGAAGGAAAGGAACTCTAATTGCCCAGTGAAGCTTACAAAAGGCTAGTCTTTTCAAGCTGCAGTTGAGAGGTACAGAAGGAACAAGTGACAGATGGAAAAGTGGGATAAGAGAGCACTGGAAACTAGCCCAGGAACAGCAGTAAGAGGAGGCAGTGACACTGAGCACGGGAACAAGGGAGATGGGATTGCTCTGCACCTGGGAGAGCAAACCAGCACCTAGAGCTCAATCTCAGACCCCCAAGTCCTGCCTTTTTTCAAAATCTAAACAAAATATAGGAAGTTAGCCCTGATACAGAAAAGGCCTGATAGCTGGCACAGCACTGTTTATATCAGGGAAAAACTGGAAGCAACCTAAATGGCCAAAAGAAGGAATATGCTTATGGAACCTGAGATATATTCAATGGACTAGTATGCAGTATTAATGTGGAAGCTTGATGCTATTTTCCAATAAGGAAAAATAGGTATAATTTAGTACTATCCAAAGACATGGGACACAAAGTTTTATGTATATTTATGATAATTCTGAAAAGCATAGAAATGAAAAAGGACCAAAGAAATGCAGCAGAGCCTTGATCCCTGCACTTCACAGAGACGTTCTGCCTGTCTGTGAGCAGGGACAGTGATACATGATTACAACTGCCTGAGTCACTTGGCCTAGGTGTGCTCCCCAGCCAGGGGACCAGCCCCTCACACAGCTCTGCTGTGCAGTCACTTCCAGGAATGAAGCAACAGATCATATTTCTTCTTGGAAAATGGCCAAAAGTGAGAGGGAACCTCTGCTGAAATCTGAAAAGCCATGCTGTGGTTTTCATGTGCACATCGAATGTCATTCTACTCTCAACAGGATCCATGTAAGAAGGGCAACCCCAAATACAAACATTTCTAAATTCTTAAATATAGGCCTGGGGAAGGTCTCTAGACATATTCCTCCACGAACATCACAGGTCTACAATAATACTTAAATAAAAATAACAATGGCGATAATAATAGTGATGCCTATTGTTTTTTTTCTCTGAAGTATTGGAAACATCATTAAGTGCACCCGTCTCTTGTGGATACACATGTCTGAGAGGAGTGCAGGAACAGGAAAGGGCTACTTGCACCTTAATACTACTATGTAGATTCCACATCATAAGACTGTGTTCAGCATATACTATGTAATACAGTATATACATGTGAATGTACTATAAAGATTTCAATTTTAAAAAGAACAGCAAACTGAAATTTAGGCTTTAGCATTTAAAGAGCTAACACCTGCAGTTTCCAGGCAGCCACTGACTCATTATAATTTGGGGCTGTTTTGATCACATCTGCATTTAATTTCTTCCTATGAGATACTAAGTCCTCATCTACTTTCCAATATGCCTGTAGGTGCAAATGAAATGTAGACACAGTGGGGTCTCAGGAAGAGTGAGAGGATACAAAATGTGTTCACAAGAATTGTGGTGGTGGCTGGGGTGGGGAGGTGGCCTTTTTCCTGAAGGTGATTGGGATGTGGGTATATAGTCAGATCCAGGAGCAGAAAACTATTACTGAGAGTAATATTTCTTCTTAGGAAATGTCCAACCATCACACCCCACTGTCTTTAGGTTTACTTCAAATGACCTTGAAATGAATCTGATGACAATGCAACTCTGACCCTAATCATGTTTGCGGAACTTTTTGTCATCCTTCAGAGCAAACAACTCAACACCTGATAAAAATCAATAGAAAAGTTCTACAAAGTCTTAATGGAATTTACTTTTTAGATGGAAAAACAAATGTACTAAAGACAAGTTCTACACTTCCGTAACTCAAACGTGTTTTTTTAAAATTTCATGAATTTTAAATAAAAGAGGTTTTTTAAAAAAGGCTAATCAGCTCCTTTGAAGGCTTAAGGCTGAAATCTGGTGAAGGTAAAAAAGACTTTCAGGGAACTGGCTGAGTTTCAATGTAGTTTAAGGTCCAATTACCAGCTTTGAGAGAAACTGAAATGGAAGGGAGATGCAGCTGAAGCCAAGCTGGGCCGTCACCAAGGGGCCCAGCCTGGCAGAGCCAAGAGCATGGGCTGAAATAGCCCATGGGAGCTCCAGGAGGTGCAGGGGTGGGATGGAAGAGTGAGGTGATGCTGCATGGGTCCCAGGGTCTGAGGAAAAGGACCAGGAAAGTTTGGAGGCAGGAAGCAGAGGAGTATGTTTGTGAGGTGACAGCATTAGATAACTAAAGCAATCTAACTCCAAACCTGGACGACAAAAAGAGATGGGGAAATGTAAACATTATTTCTACATAGCAGTATCATTTTATAAAATGATGCTTTGCTATTTTAAATCCTGCTCACAAATCAAAAAGGTTTCTTGCCCTGGCTTGATGTTGATTATCATATACCAACTATTTCCAGTGCATCCCATTAATATCTTAGATGAACAAATCCGTAATTTCCTGCTGAGAGACCAACTACATGATGATGCAACCTTGGAAAATTTAGCATAAAACACAGTATTGTAAGTGAAAGGGCACCTTACTACTTCATTCTGAGAACTGTGATTTCATTATAAAAAGATCATTACATACATTCTCAATCATCTCAAGCAATTATCATCAGGGTACCTAATTCTTGATTTCCCTCTCTGTAATTATTCCTCAGAACGCTAGGGGAAAGGACTGCATCATAATTAATGAAAGCATCCAGCAATTTAAATAAAAAAGCCTATGATTCTTCAAAGAGCATTTCAAGTAAAATCCATTCTACGGAAGAACATACCATGACCTCATTCAAGAGAATCTGCAAAAATGACTCTTATCATGTTTTTCCAATGCAGTGTATGATAAGGGTTCATCCTAAATTTCCCCCAAGTATTTTATAGAATGGCTTATTGACAAAGGTGATATCATCATGAAACCTGGAAGAAAAATGTCACCATTTTCCTGAATAGAGGGTACAAATGTCACAAAGACGATCAGGGAGGCTGAAATAATGACCAGGCTTCTCATAAACTAATAGATGGAACCAGCTGCAAAGAACACTTAAAGCTCTGCTTCTCCCCATTCCCTCTAGGGGAAAAGTATCTCAGACGAGCAAAAACAGATGTGAGACAGGTTCATTATTTGAGGCAGACGATGAAATAGGGAAAATGGAAAAAAAGAGCTGCTGTATAACTCCTACTTTCTCTTTTCACAATGAATGAGGACATGGTGGGTGGGAATGAGGCTGGGCTTGGAGTCAGCTCCTTCCAACTCTTGTGTTCTGAGCTCTCCAATTACCAAAAAAGAAAACTTATCTTTTTGTCATGCAAGCCAGACTTTGGCAACCATAATACTTCTTATATCTCTTTCTCCACTTTCAATTTTGTCTCCCAAAGCTTATTATGATGATCAGAGAAAAGGAGCCGCTAACTGAGGCAACATCCTTAACTGGCATTCCAATTCTGTTTTAGAAGGGTGCGGGGCGGGGGCGGTGAATAGATGACCAACCTTATTTGAAAATAAACAGGCAAGTTCCACTTCTTATTGAAGCTGTGATAGGCAGGATGGGCTCTTAATCTCTTTACACTAGCCTGTGATCCACACTGCCGTTCCAATCTTCTGACAAAATCCATACTTATGGTATATTTCTAAAATAAAACAAAAGGAAAATTTTCATTATTAGAACACTAACTAGAACAGGGAGCATGTACTGAAAACTGTAATCAAGATAAAGAAGCTCAACACGTAAGAATCACAGTTTCTAGAGTTAACAAGGAACTTACAAGATCTTTCTTCCAATGTCCCCATTTAAAGATACATAAATGCCCAAAGTGGTTCTGTGATATGTCTTCCGTGTCTTCCATGGCAAAGCCCATCTGAGACCCAGGCACTCTAAGTCTGGTGCTCTTTAAATGGCAGTGCTCATGTTCTAGGGCCCCCTACCCCAGCCCACTGGAATTAGAATTGACAGCAGATTAAATGACATAGTTCGTCATTGCCTCACAAAGGAGAAAGAAGGAGAAAATTCTGAAGAAGAAAGAGAGAGAAGAGAAAGAATCAAACCATGTGAGTATTCACTTCATTTTTATAAATAAGATAGCATGAAAACTGACAGGGAGATGTACCAAAACCATTAAGAGTGGCAGCTAACTCGTAGCATTTATCATCGACACACTGTGATTAGAATTGTCTTATTTAATTTAACCCACAAAACGACCCCACAGGGCAACTACCATCATCATCATCATCATCATCCCCATTTTACAAATGATGCTTCTTCTTCTGTTGAGGCTCACAGAGAACCTGCTCAAAAGACAAGCCAGGCGGTAGAGGAAGCAGAATGCTAGTCAGTCAGTTGACCAAAACTGCGGCTGCATGTTGCTTTTGTGGGTACTTTATTCCCGAAGCCCCCAGGCTCTAAGAACACTGTTGAATTTTTTATGTTCTTCTCAATTAAAAGGGGCTCAATCCAGGGTCATCAAACCATTAATCTAAATATGCTAAAGTCTGTGCTTAGAAAGGATCTTACAGTAGTAAAAACTACAGGCTTTAAATTTATTTCAAATGGTTTTGGGCAAACTTATGTTATCCCAGAGGGTGGTCTAGGTGTGTGGAGTTGAGACAAAAATAGGGATTATTCTTCCCTTTTGGGACAAAACTATACCTCTGCATATAATGGATGCTAAAACAAATATAAAGATATTGCCCTCTTACAAGAAACACATTACATTAAGGCTTAAAGCTGAAAGTATTTCTGGAAATAAATGGATACTATCTGCTGGAAACTATACTCACAAATGTTAAGTATTAGCCTAAAATTCTAAAGTCAAGTTCTATCAGAAAGGTTCATTTCTGAGCTGAAACATTTCCTGAGTCAAACATGGTCAATACGAGTCTCTAAAGCACACAGCAAATTGTAAAGCGTCTTCACATTTGCTAGTGCTTAAAGCTTACAATTGCTTCTGCTTAAAGCCATTATTTCACTCTCCTTATGCTATCTTATTTAAAAAGCCCTACTTTTTAAAATTACAAATGTTGCTATAAAATTTATTGAAAATGGCACAATCCTGTTATTCAATGCACTGTAACATGGGACAATCAGCCAACAGATAAGGTAAGTTGCATTTCTGGAATGGTAAACCTCCCAATGTGTTGTCTTATCTGTGGGAAACCTGCTGGGCCCCAGGCTGTCTGTTTATGCTTATCTTGTGCCTCTCTACACTTAAAAAATTAATAAACAAATTCGCCAGGGAGGCTAGACAAACAACAAATATGACTTCTAGAAATAAAAAAATATGATAATTAACCAGAAACTCAATGTGCAGGTGGAAAAGAGTTTAGACACAACTAAAGAAGGAATTAGTGACCTAGAAGACAGACTGTGAAATTATCGAGAATGCAGCAAATACAGAGGATAGGGTGAGCCTGTCTAAACAAGAGATCTAGATGGAGATGATAGAGGAATGAAAGAAAAGCACAATTGAAGAAATAATATATAAAAATGTTCCAGAATGGATGAAAGATACCAATTCTCAGATTCAGAAAACCTATCAAATCCTAAGGATAATAATAAAAAAAGAAGTTCTACTGGACATATCATAGCAGAACTTACTTAGCACACCAAAGTCACACAGAAGATCTTAAAAGCAGCCAGAGAAAAAAGGCATTAACTACAAAGAAATAACAATTAAATTAACGGCTAACTTAATAATGCAACTCAAAAGACAACACTCAAAGTGCTGAGAATTCTGTTAATACATCCAGCAAACTGACCTTACAAACAGAAGCAATACAGTTATTTTCAGACAAACACAAACTGAGAAATTATTAAAAAAATAAATTATCATCAACAGTTAGAAGACTAAAAAGTCTTCTAACATGAATTTCAGAAGAATGATTCAAGAAGGATGAGCTGACATTCAAAAATGAACAGTAAGCAATGACAAACATGTAGGGTAATTCCCAGAGGACGATGATGATTTAAAACAATAAAAATGACCAGTTTTTAAGATTTTAAAAAAAACGTAATAGAAGTACGAGCGAGGAAACAAAAATATATACTATGAGAAGGGATGGTTGGTGTTAATGTGTTCTAAGTTCCGCGTATTGTCCAGGAGAAGGCTCGAGAACATAAATCAACTTTAGATTCCATTAAGTAACCAGTAAGGTTACTCAATATGTACAGAAATAAAGGGCACAACTTCCAAATTAGTAGAGGGGACAAAATGGAATAAAGATGGAAAACAGATCCCCAGAAGTCTAAAATACGAAGAAGGTGAAAAAAGAAGGGAGGAAGAAAAGATGGGAGGAAGGAAATAAGGGAAGAAAACTGGAACAAAGAGAAAGTATAAAATAAGAGTCAAATGCATTGACAGTTAGAATCACTGTAAATTTAATAAAGTACCTAATTAAAAGACAAAGATTATCTCACTGCATAAGAAACCAAAAACTGAAATCCAGGGAAGAAGAAGGAAGAAAAGTGCCAAGAGGCTGAGCCTTTAAAATGATAGAATGGAAAGCAAACTTACACATTGATTTTTGAAATCCTAACCATGAAATCTTTTAAATAATGATTTCTTTTTTAAGAGGGCGGGGGAAGCAGGGGTGGAATAGGGCTGGACATGGGGGCTGAAATCCTAGCACTTTGGAAGGTTGAGGGGGAAGGAGTGCATGAGGCTAGGAGTTCAACACTAGCCTAGGCAACATAGTGAGACCCATCTCCACAGAAAAAGAAAAAGAAAAGAAAAATTGACCAGGCATGGTGGTGTGCGCCTGAAATCCCAGCTACTCAGGAAGCAGCCTGAGGCATAGGATCGCTTGAGTCCAGGAGTCGAAGACTGCAGTGAGCTATAATTGTGCCACTGCACTCCACCCTGGGCAACACAGTAAGACCCTGTTTCAAAAATAGTAATAGTAATAATAAAATAAAATATAAATTAAAAAAACAAATAAATATTGGGGCTTTCTAACTTTTTAAATCATAAAGGACATTTATGTAGTATATTTTAAAATCCAACCAATTCCTTTGTACTTGCTGCTGGAAAACATTCAGTGAATACTTTCTGTTTTCATTCAAAATTATATGGCAGAGATGTACAAACTTAATTTTTCACAGAAAACTGCAAAAACACTGGCTTTTAATGGTCCTCAGGATGTTTTTAAGAAAGTTAGAAAATAATGTACATTTCTACTCACACTTGTATCTAGCCTTAATTATACTTTATATTATAAAATGAAAATGTTCTTATTCCTAAAAGTATCATACATCATATCTTGGATAAAACGATGTGTGTGTTTTAAGGTTAAATGTTCACTTAGCAACTCAAATTTTTATTTTTAATAAACCACAGAACCAAGACTAAGTAGAAGAGAACATGATATTTCTCCAGTCTCCGGTTAACATCTTCAAGAATCAAGACGACGGGCGGGGAGATACCTCATGAAATGCATCGGGATTCCCAGGATTAAAAAGCGAGGGTAACTTTTCTTCTAATCCTTGTACTATTTGTGGCCAAACAGAATTCACCAAAAAGTCATATCCAGGAACAGTATTGCCTTTTTCACTGTAAAATAAGGGCACATATCAGTAAAATATACCATAATCTACTTACAAAGAGCAAATTTCCACTGTGTTGCTTCTGCCAAAAGATCCGCAGTCTAAAACTTATTTCAACTTTTTAAAAAAACCGTATTTGTAATTTAGTTTGTTTCCAGACTCAAGTTTCTATTTCACTCCTTAATTTCAGTCTCACCTCAAACCTGGCAAATCTCCTAGATCCTGACTCCTCCAGCTGGTGTCAAGGCTAAGGGAAGCCACATAAAATCACCTTGGTACACTTTTCCCTCTAAAATACTTCCCAACCCCTTTATACTCCTATCTTGGAAACAAAAAGTACAGTAGTCTAATACCACAGGAAAAATAACCTTCACATTACTGAACACCACTAAACCACACAGCATTGTAAGTTATGCTAATTTATAAATTACTAACAGCTTTGTATTTACTAAGCTATCTCTAAGATTACTTTCAGTTCTAAAATTCTATGACTATCAAATGTGAAATCTTATCACAAATCTTGACACAAAAACCTGTTAACAGATTAATGTTTTATTTTGTGTGTGTGCCTGTCTTGTTTTGTCTTTTTTTAGCACCAGACTTTTAAATTCCAAATTCCCAAATGTAGATGACAGGCAGCACTGACAGAAAGCATGCGCTTTGGAGCTGGTGTGCCTGATTCAGATATTGGAGGGCGGGCAAATCATTTAACTTCTCTGTGCTTGGTTTCTTCATCTTTAAAATGGTGATGATCATAGTACCAACTTCACAAAGTCATTATAAGAATTAATATTTGTAAAGTACTTAGGATAGTGCCTAACATATAGTAAAAGCCCTATGTTAGTAACGGTTAAATAACGGAGATTCCTTAAGTCGCTCACAAACTCAAAGATCCATAAACATCCATTCTAGGCAAACACCATTTCACTAATCTGCCCACTTTGTTTCATATTGGGTATTCTGCTCTATTTCAAGGTAATTTTTTAAAATGGCAAACAATTTAATAAATGTTCTATTTTAGCAAAACTGGGAGTTTTGTAGCTAAGTTGCCATGTCAAAACGGGACTTAACATTCTGGTAAGTATTAAAATAAATTTTTTTAAAGTTTTCATAATTTTCCTGCTTAACAAAAATTATCAAGACAGATAAGTTATCAAGGAAGCTTTGCTTCACTGTCCAGGAAGAGCTAGCAAATAATGTTATTATAGTTTCACCTAAGTATTGTTAGGAAATTACTGGTGGGGGTGGAGGAGGGCCAGGAAGGGGAAAGAAGATGACTGCCTCCCATATATCCAATTCCACACATCATATTATACACTTCCAAATAATAGGAAGAGCAGGCTCTGTTAAGGTATCTAGAGAAAGAAAGCACAAAATTGAGGACTCCAAACTACAGATATACATAATGTAATCACTATTAAATGACAACATTTCCTCATTCCCAAAGTTAATGTCTAATCAAATCCCCAAAGAGAGAATGTAAAACCTGCAAGATTAACAGTTGATGGATTAGAAAAGCTCATCTGTATTCTCTGGAGGAGAAATCACGAATGTTGTTGGTGTTGCCAGTTATAAAGCTCATGAAGGGTGGCACATGATAAAAGAAAGGAGTGACAAGGGGAGCACCAAGCTGGAAATCTGAAGCCAGGAGCCGAGCAAGGGAAGGAAAGGGATATGCAGAACCTGCAACACAGTGACAGGCTAGCGGCAGATGATGATCTCGCAAGGTACAGTTCAGATTCCTCAAATCTCTAAGCCTTCTACATGAATTCCCCCACACTAAAAACTGTGGAAAAGATCCACTAAAGCTTTGAAGCTTGACATCTCTGGACCCAGACTGGCCCTGTCAAATCTAATGGCTGATTGTTTCATATCTATGGCTTCATTTTACATCATGATTTCTACTATGTTCTTATCCCCAAATCCAACTAAATCCTTATGATTACTAAACAAAAGTAGCAAAACTAGACTTCATCTTAGGTGGTACAGAGGAAACAGAGAGGGTACTGCAAAGGCCAAGCAGCATATTAATTACCCCATATTTCTGCAAAGAACAAAAACTCAAGGCCAAATACATTGCTTGCTCCATGAAAACAGAGACCTTATTTGCCTTTCGATCATTAAACATAGTTAATTCTTTCATTTTGCAAGCACTAACTGGGCAGCTGCTAGCTCTAAGACACTGTGTCAAGAGGCAGGGGAAGGTGTGAGCAGCGGAGAGGTGATCATAATGCAACATGGAAATCAGTACTCAGCAGACCCAAGAGCAACACATCCTGCAATCCAGAGGACATGATGAATGCTGAACATTAGGAGAAAAAATGGCCTTTTTTTTTTTTTAAGATGGGGTTTTGTCATGTTGCCCAGGCTGGTCTTGAACTCCTGGCCTCAAGCGATTCACCTGCCTTGGCCTCCCAAAGTGCTGGGATCACAGGTGTGAGCCACTACGCCCGGTCAAGGATGGTCTCTTGAAGGAGGTGGTATCTGAGCTGGAGCTTCATGTGGAGAGGCAGTTTGACAGGAAAACAAAGGGCACAGGAAGGGGAGGGCAGGCAGAGGAAAAACGCAGAAGCACGTGAGTACAAGGGAGCTGGGGAAAGGCAGCTAGCACTGTGTGGCTGGAGCATCCAGGGCTATGGAGGGAAAGTTTCTACAGTGGAGAGCTACCAGGCAAGAACAAAAAGGGCCTCATGCCCTGCTTCGAGAAGCCTGGATCTTCCTCCATGCGCACTGAGAAGCCACTAAAGATTCATGAAGAAATCTATGAATCTCAGATTTCTGGGTAAATGTGACAGTCAGAAGCCTAGACTAGAGAGGGAGAGACTGGAAGCAGGGAGACAGGGTGGGAAGATTCTATTATTGTGGACAGCAGATGACAAGGCCTGGACTGGGACAATGGCAATGGTGAAAAGTAATGGGATATTTATGAAAGAGAATCAGGAAGTCATGGAAACTGAACAAAAGGAGGAAAAATTGAAGATGAGTTCACAATTAGTATAAAACCTGTTGAAATAAACTGAATTAATATTTATAGACAGATTATGACATATTAGAATCATGGAAGGAAAGCAATTCTGACTTCAAACTAAATTTAGGAAAAAGTGCAGAGAAGAAGAAAGGCTAGGCTTTGGATTCGGAAATGTGGTCTTCAGTCTCAGCTTCATCTCAGTTTCCACAACTTTGAAATGAGGCTAATGGAATCTGCCTCACAGTATCACCAGTAGAAACAATGAAATAACAAGATTCATAATGGATTCATACAAGACAGTTCATACAAGACAGTCATCGTCCATCGTGCACCTGCAATTAGCAGGTGCGGTCACTGAAAGGGAGGTGGGGGTCCACACAGGGTTGTTTAAATTACCTGGAGATGGCACCTCCTGTGACTTCTCGAAGAAGGCGGCAATGGTGAGGAACAAACTCCAGGAGTTTATTATACATGACCTGAAGGCCATTGGGATGAGATTCAACAAACTGCTCTATAATCACCTATTAAAAGAAAAATCATTTTTTAAAAAAGCATTTAAAAGGGAAGTACAAACGATCTATTTCAGAGAAAACAATAAAGAAAACTTTACAAATCTGCTTCCTCACACTCACCCTCCTCCCTGTGACACATTTTCTAAACAGTGAAGTAAATAACAGGTCACATTCAAAACTACTTCCTTGGATTAGGCTGTACAGATACAACTGTGGGGGAGACATGGGCTGACAAACCATGCACTCTCATCTGCTTCCCTGGGAGTCTGAAAATAAAATAACAACTTTTAAAAAAAGATTTAAAGCAGAGCACATGATTCGCCACCACAACTCCTCACTGTCTTCATCCTGGCCTTTTTTTCTACCATCATTCAGATTAGGGAAGGGTTTGAGGCAGAGAAAGACAGAAGAAAATATATTAGTTCATTATTTTATTTTTTGTGATAAAATTGGGAGACAAGAATGATATGACAAGATAAGCTGAGTTTAAATAAAACACAATGTGGCTACTGAATTTAATATGCCACTGAAAGTTCAAATAGTTCTTTAATTTAGCACACTAGATTCAGTTCCGTGAAAAAGGAATAGATTAGTGACTAAAATATTTTCATCGGTTGGGCGCAGTGGATCACGCCTGTAATCCCAGCACTTTGGGAGACCAAGGCAGGCAGATCACTTGCGCTCAGGAGTTCAAGATTAGTTTGGACAACATGGCAAAACCTCATCTCTACAAAAAAAACATTAGCCAGGCATGGTGGTGTGTACCTGTAGTTCCAGCTAATTGGGAGGCTGAGGTAGGAGGACTGCTTGAGCCCAGGAGGTTGAGGCTACAGTGAGCCATGATCATGCCTCTGCACCCCAGCCTGCGTGACAGAGTGAGACCCTGTCCCCCAAAGCACAAAAAAATTTTTTCACTTATTGACAAAGAAATAATGTATGTAATTTTTTCACCCCCATAGAGACAGCTATGGAATATAACATGATATAAACAGAGAGAACTGAAATATCATTTATTTTTAGTAATCTTAACAAGGCCAAAATAATTATTAAAATGAGTCCCTACATTTCATTTTTATCATTGGGAGTCTCAACTTTCCACTTTAAAAAATAAAAGACTTTCACCCTGAAATCATGTGAGTATAATCTTTGTATTTACTAACAGTCAGAACATTCATACTGACAGGACACTGGAGGAAAGTCCCCAAACACCGAGGACGGGCTCAGTGACTTCTCTCAGTTTGAAGCAGACAAAGCTGCTGTTTTTGTATGTCAGAAACTGTTGAATATCAGCAACTTTATATGGCACAATCTATACTCTGGCTGCTCAGAAGTGGGATATACTTGTTTCCTACATTTTAACTATATCCTACTAGGTGAAGGATACTGCATAGCCAAGTTCTAGATTTAAGGTATTACTTGGCTAATTTGCTATAAAAGCCCTTGATCTTTGAATATTCCTCCTCTCACCTTCCTCGTCCAGCAAACTCCTCTGTATTTTTCAAGACTTGGGCCAAATGTCATTTATTCCCTGAAGACTTGAGGGTACCACTGTCTACCCCACTCACACACCTTTCCACACTCACAGCACTCCCTGCACCTTCCTCGTACACTGCAGTGTTGTCACTGCTTAATTGCCTTAGTCCACCCACAAGACCAGTGATTTGAAAACATTCTTTTAACAATTACTGAGGAACCATCGCCTCCCATAAAATTGACCTAAAAGCACGTGGATGCCCTTGAATCTCGCCCTTGAAGCCTGAGCCGCAGCATTCCTAGGACACCTGAGACGGCACGCCCAATTCCTGGCATCGTAACATTACTTCCCAACTATAACCCATGGAGACCAATCCTTCCTTATAGCTGGTACTGTAGGAACTGAGAATCTTTCCAGAAAGATCTCTGTTCTCTCTTCTTATCTTCCTCACACCCAGTAAAGAGTCAAAGACAGAACAGAAGCTCATGAATGTTTGTTGAAGGAGGTACACAGACCTCGTCTATGTATGGTTTCACTAGTACTTGGCCAACTAAGGCCTCCGCGTCCCGTGTCTTGTCAATCGTGGCGTAAGTCCGCAAGCAGTGCCGTATTATATCGACGTCAGACGTCTGAAGGCCTTCTAATAGGAGACCTTCCAGTGACTGCTGTAACATGGCTGTAATGCCAGCTATACGCTGCAAGAAAAGGTGGGTAAATAAAAAAAAAGCTCTAGTTGTAACAGTTTCTGAAACTGCAAGTAGATATATAACAAGCCTCTTACACCAACAGATAATGACATATATAAAATCAAAATAATAACTTTTCCTGGAGAATAACAATGAACCCCTCACTCCAATCACTTTATAAGTAAATCTCTGCTTCATCAAAGAAGAATTTAGACAGAATTACAGAATGAGAAAAAAGTTACCTTCCTCTTAAGCTACGAAGTCAATCTTGAGGAAACATCATGGATTTAAAATCCAATTAAGGGCTTTGGATAAATTAATTGTCTACATCATATAAGATGTCCAATTCCATGAAATTCAGAATTAATTTTACTCTTATCATCTGGAGAATGTGACTGAGTCTTTACACAAAATCTATAATGTGTGACACTTAGGAAGCTGGCGCCCAAAAAATTAAAAATTGAAAAAAAATGCAAGGTTAGCTTCAAAACCCTGTAGATCAACAATATTACTAGTTTAAACCAGAATTATTTAGCAAGTCCCTAAACACCAAACTGTGGAAATCCAAAACAACACTTACCGGTCTTACTTTGTCCAAAAGAGGCATGCCTTTGCTTTGAACAGCATGAAACTGTAACTGATTAAATTCTGTGGCAATTCTCTCCAAAATTTGTCCAGTCAAAAGGGGGCTAGTAGAGAAAACAGTTATAGAAGTGTAACCCCTAAGGTCTCTATTTCCACGAGAATACATCACACGCCTGGCAGTGAGAGACTTTCATACCCACTGTATTTTGACTTTTGTCAGAGTGTTTTATGTGGCCACCTTGTTACAAGGTGAAAGCTAAAGCGTCTTTTGTGCCATCAGTCAATGTTCCCCAGACGCCATATGCACAGCATGTTCTAAGTGCACCGGGGAATCTGTTGAGTACAAGCTGCTGATGCTGCCTGGCCTTGACCCACAGGGACCAGACAGCAGCAGGGCTGGCTAGGCCTGTGGACATGCAATTATGTGTTTCTGCCACCGACTCCAAGCTCTCCCATTCATGACCTTCTTTTTCAGCTTTAACCTCCCTTCTATTTCCCTCTTCCCCCTCTCCCCTTTCCCCTTCTCCCTCCTTATCTTTTCTTTTTCTTTCCATCTCATTTCTTATAGCTGGATCCTTTCTACTTCTCTGCCTGCCTCACTCTCCTTGCTAAAATACCTCTAGATATTTCTAAAATACCAAATATATTTGTCTCCTCAATGAATGAAACTGACTCTCCAGCAGCAATAAATATCTCAAAATATCTTATTTTAAATTTAAATAGTAATAACTTACTTTAAAATTACATTTACCAAACAGCAAGAGCAGTCAACCTACATGCTGTGGGTCCTAGTGAGAGGGCATTCTTTACGTACCTGGCACAAAATATAATAAATGCACTTTTTCCCCCCAAACATATTATAAAATGTCAATATCACTCAAAAGGAAGTAAAATAGCAGAGGAGAAGTATAAAGGCATAATCACTTGCTGTGTATACTGAGGCATCCTGTGTACACTGATGGCTCATCACCAGTTAGGGAGGAAAAATGTCCCTATCATGAGGACATATAAAATGCTGCACTGAGACCATCAGTGGTCCACCCAGTTCTGTATTTGTAGCATCCAAACTAGTTTAGAGGAACAGGAACTGCCCAGTGTGACCAACCAAAAAGGGAAACTCTGTCTTGAATATCCCTAACTGTTTCCTGAATAATCTCGTGTGAATTAATTATTTATAAATTATCTAAATGTTTCTTGGCTTAACAAGCATGGTATATCTACTATTCAGTAATATTGCCCTGGTTTTACCTTCACTACAGCTCAAATTTGCAGATCTGAATTTAAGAAAAGCTCCTCAAAGACGATTCGGAGCAAGGAAGAGTGCAGTGTCTATTATACTGAATATAACATACTGAATATAATATAATACAATAATATAAGAGTATCTCTAGAAACAGACATCACTGAGGTCATCAGAAAAGCTCCTCAAAGATGATTCGGAGCAAGGAAGACTGCAGTGTCTATTATACTGAATATAACATACTGAATATAATATAATACAATAATATAAGAGTATGTCTAGAAACAGACATCACTGAGGTCATCAGAAGCCCGTTCCCCACTAGTGGGAGACGTTTGGTTATCTTTTCTTAGGTACCTACTAGTTCCAGACACTGTGGTGTAAAGATGTCAGGGGCCTTATAGACTGAGAAGGCATGCAAGCCAATCAACAGTTCCAGTCTCACCGTTAAGTTGTCTAGGGGATGACCCGGAGGCCCGATGAATGCATGGAGATGGAGCATCTAAATCTGAAAGGTCAGGGAAGACTTGCTAAAAGAGGTGGTCTTGTAATTGAGCTTTATGGAAGGGAACTCTTGTAGTGTCTTGTTTGTACTTTCTCTCACAGAACTGAGTGAGACAGTTTTAAAGAAAGCAGAAGGGATCAACAGTATCCCACACAAAAGAGAAGAATAAATTTTACAAAACAAATCCATATCGTTTTATAACCTGCTTTTTTTCCACTTAGCACAGTATTTTTAAACTTTCTATACTTTAAGCATGTTTTGAGCTAGATTTGGATGGAATAAAGAGAAATCGGGCAGGTGAAAGGGAGGTGGAAGTTAAAGGAAGGGCTTTTAGTACAACAAATGGCCATACATAGTAAAATTAAGGAAGCGTAAGTCAGCAATGTTCAGGGCAGTCAGGGAACCAAAAGTAGTTCTGAATAGCTTTAGTGAAGAATACAGAAGTGGCAAGGAGCAGCTTGGGAGTTTAAGATTTACCTTAAAAACACTAGGAAACCATTGTTTCCCAATCACATAGTAAGATGTGATTAGACAAATCTAAAAGATCCATTTGGCAGCTAGGGTTAGTTGTCCTAGAGAAAATGAGAGGTCAGTCAGGAGGCCACTGCCTGAAACGAGGCAATGGGAGAACTGAGAGGGGGAGGCAGACATCTCTCAATCTCAGAGACACTAGAGCAGCAGAGTCTCCAGGGCTTGCCTAGTGAACGCCAGAAGGAGATGAAGTTTAAAAAAGGAGAAAATGACTCCCCCAAGATGTCTAGCCTCGTTAGTGAAGGAAATAAAGGCACCGTTTCCTAAGACAAGGAATAAAAGGGAGGAGTAAAATGTTTTTGCTGGTGGAGAGAGGCAGGGAAAGAAGATGAGAGCTCAGTTTTCAACATGATGAATGTGAAGTGCCTGGAGAACGTCCACTAAACTCCCCGCAGTCAGCAGACTGATGAGTCTGAGGACTACAGAAGTTCGTCTGCAGATAAAGAGATCAGCATCCAGGAGGCCATTAAAACCATGGGGTTGGATGAGGTTACCCAGAAAGTGCTGATCAAGAGCACAGTCCCAAGAACAGTGCCCTGGAGAAAGCTGGCATGAAAAAGGGCAGTGGAGTCCATCAAAGGAACAGAGTAGGAATGGGGAAGGAGGAAAAGAAAATGAGGAGGCAGGTATCACAGATGCCAAGTGAGGACATAGTTGGGAGGGGCTGTCAATGCTGTTGAGTGGAAGACAGAAGCAGAGCAGTTAGTGGAACAGGGCTCTGCTGGGCTCTCAGAACTGACACTGATGGGGACTCTGATGAGCGCAGATGAAGGGGAACAGAACGGACAGAAGCAGAAGTACTACAGGCTGAAGAAAAAAGATGGCAGCGATTGACCACTTATTTATACATCTCGATCAGGAAAGAAAGTAGAGACCTAGGACATGAGAATAATTTCCTTTTCGGATGCCTCATCTCCTCATCTATAAAATGAGAGAAACACAGCATACTGTCTCTACAGTCTCTCCAAATCTAAAATTCTGATTCCTAAAATTAAGAAATCCAACTTGTCTTGATAATACGATCAGGACTTTGAACTGCAGGTATATTCCATTTGGTCCTGGTTGGTTTTCCTGTAGCTTATCCCATATTAGTCAAGGAAAAGTATGATGGCTATCAATGTGACTTTCAGAGATGCTTGTGTTAGGCTCAAACTAGACATGTATGAGGGTCTAGTCTATGGCTACCAATCCTGCAAGTGGAGTTCCTATTAGCCTTATATGAGAGATGACAACACCAAGACACAGAGTGAAGTAACCTGACTCAGGCTACCCAGCTGGTACATGCAACATAAGCCCATGCTCTTTCCACTGCACCATGGAGTTTCCCATTAATGTTCATAATGATCCATTCAATTCATTTTCTGAGTCACTCAACTACCTGACTGATTTTAAATTCAGTGTGGGAAGGTAATAAGACACTACAGTATAACAAAGGAAACAGTCATCTTTTGCTTATTTTGCAAGCTTTTTCTTTGCTGTTTATAAATTTCAGTGAAATATGTCCTGTACTATTTCTTAATAACACTCGTGCATTTTGAACCTCAAGATACATCAACTGGAATACTCTGGGCCTGTCTAAATAAGATGACTGCTATTCCACACCTTGAAGGTCAGTAGGGATTTCACTAGTCCATGGGTAAGGCAATTTCAAAAATAAAAACCTTCCACAGAAAGTACACGTTCTCTGACTCCCTGAAAGGTGCTGTGTTGGAACAGTGGCCTACGACCATCAAGGCTATATAATAATATGTATAAGCTTTACCATTTCATGCACTCTGCTTTGCTTGAGCTACATTTAAAAACACTAAGCCATAGACTGGGATTTTCTTCTTTATCAGAAATGAGTTCTAACTAAAAAAGTTTTTACTCTGGATGTGAAGTATTAATTTACGAGTTATTTAATAAAAAATACTTACCTGCTTGCTTCTAGTGCAGAGGTTTCTTTAGAACTTTGAGAGTTTAAGATTTTTTCAATTTTCTCAACTGACCGAATAACTTGTATAAGCCTCAATACACACATCTATAAATAAAAATTAAGGAAAAAAGTTATTGTCATGTTTAATCTTAATTTTCTTATTTCATCATCCTAAGTACAGGAAAATACAAAGTCAAAAGTCAACGTAAAATTACCTATAGCATTCTATATTTTTAGTATTTCTACATAACACAAAATTCCCAAGAATGCAAATCTTTTGGCTTTCTAGAACAAACATATTTCAATATTCTATCACAATTTCAGAATTTTTAAAAAAACTTTTTTTTTTTGGTTTCTTATATTATATCCTTATTCCTTCTTTCTTTTCCCCATCTTTTTTAGGACAGGGTCTCACTCTATCACCCAGGCTGGAGTGCAGTGCTGTGATCTTGGCTCACTGCAGCCTCAACTTCCCAGGCTCAAGTGATCCTCCCACCTCAGCCTCCCAAGTAGCTGGGACTATAGGCACACACCACCACATCTGGAGAATTTTTTTGTATTATTTGTAAAGACAGGGTTTTGCTATGTTGCCCAGGCTGTTCTCAAAGTCCTGAGCTCAAGCGATCTGCCTGCCTCAGCCTCTTAAACTACTGAGATTACAGGTGTGAGCCACCACACCTGGCCTCTTTCCCCTATCTTATATAAACCTTTATTTTGGTACTACATTTATGTTCGTAAGGTCCTTTTTTTATGTTCTTAGTTTCTGATCATATTTGTCCTCTTCATTTACATGTGCATGATATACCAATAAACGTTAAGTGCCAATTCATTAAAGACATTTATTACACAAGGCAGATATTATCAAGGAACATTATAAAAACTCATTGTTAAAATAACAAAAATTAAGTCATTCATTAAATAAATAGTTACAAAGCATCTACCATGAACCAAGACATTCTTCTACACATTGGGGATATAAGTGGATAAAACAGGCAAAAATCCCCTTCTCATGAAGTGGACAATCTTTTCTAGCAGTGCACTACATTCTTGAATCTTTGGACAAAAGCTGAGAAGGGATCTAAAGGAGAATTAAACAGAAGATCTCTAAAACAGGCTTCTCTCCCTTGAGATTTTAATAAGTGTGCTTGGGTACTAAAGTTATCAAAAGAAAAATAAATACATAAATACATCTAATAAATACATTTATTTATTTATTTAATATAAACACTTTAATATAAAAGAGACACATCACACTCCTCTCTGCAAAGGTATCAAGAAGAGTAAATCAGACCATATGCCTGAAAGTGCTTGTTACTACAAGGTGCTACAGTGAATCAACGATTTAATATTGTAATATTTGAGTATACCTTTTTTTTCCTAATGTCCTCTTGTTTAGACATTCGTTCATCAACTGCCCGAATTCCTTCACTGACAGACGATCTAAGGCTCTTTAAAAGACAAAAAAAAAAAGTACTGCAGAGATTGTTTTGTAACATTATGAAATTTACACATTTAATTCAATTCCACAGGACTTAACACCTACAGGCCAGTATTACACAGATATTGACAAATTACAAAATATTAGACACAATTGCTGTTTGTGTCTCAAGATTTAGGGGAAAATGACATATAAAGCCAAGGTCATGCAAGATTGGCTGCCAAAAGAAAATTAATATATATACAATGAGCATCACAGGTGGTCAGGGTAAAGAAAGGATAACCTGAGTCAAAGTATAAGGGTGTCTGGTGGGGGAGATGAGACTTGAGGTAGATTCTAAAAATTTGTGGATGCTGACAAGCGTAGAGAAAAGATTATCAGAAGACAAGGCAGGAAGATAGAACAGTAATGACATATTTCAGGACCAGTGAGGAATACATCCGGGGGTACTGCAGGCATCAATTTGGACAAAAGTAGAAATAAAACAGGAAGGGTTAATTCAAGAGGGCTATGACCAGATAAGACTTTAGACCAGATTCTACACATTTTAAGTACTAATATATCATGAAAAAGTTGTTTTGGGAAAATTCAGAATCAAGAAGTCAAGAACAGGATGCAAGGAAAAGGAGAGGTCATAAGTGGAGAAACATGTCCAGAAGCTAATGAATTAATCAGAAATTAGGGCCAAAATGAAAGTAATGGAAAAACTAGAATAAACTGGAGAAATCACAAAAATTCTATAGAAAAATGAATTCATTCATCCCACAAATGTTACAAAATACCTATTAAATGCCAGCTATTGTGCAAGCCAATGAGGATGCAATGGTGAACAAGATAGAAATAGTCTCATTTCTCAACGACTGCAGAATCTCACAGAGTAGCTTCATGAGTTGGAAGCCAAAAAGGAAGAACAGGTCTACGGCTAAACCAATCAGGAAAAAGGTGGCTATAGAGACAGCTGTGGAAGGAGGGAGAGCATATGGTGCTGGCAGGTGGCAAGGAAAAGACTAGAGCCTGCAGGTGAGACAGCAGTTAACAATGACAGAGCAGAATTCGGGAGAGTGAATCCACCTCCATGGGAGAGAATTTGGAGAGGAGAGAAGAGGAGAGGAGAGGAGGGAGAGGAGAGGGCTGAGGACTGAGGGCTGAGGCTCGGAAAACACCCTATCTCCAAGGGTGGGGGTAGGAAGAGGTACACTGAAAAGAAGGCAGGAGAGCCACCCAAGAGCCATGTAAAAGCCACCCAGAGTGTGGAATCCAACAGTGGATCACAAAAACTATTTTCCTTCCATGCCAAGAAGAAGTACTTTAAAAGCTTTTTTAAAAAATCAAACAAGACATAAACATTTGAAAATATTTGCTAGTTCAAGGCACAACTTGAGACCTCTCTTTTAAGAATTATTTCTTGCCTGCCATTCTTATGGACTTCTAAACACTGACATTTCTATTATTTTGCATTTTTTTTTTCAGCACTACACATGCACTGAATGTTTACTTATGTCACCTACTGTGAGCATACTATGTGCCAGGGACTGTCTTAGGGGCTAAGTGCATAAGGCTACTCAAGCTGCGCATGATCTAATGGTGACATACACAGGTAATAATGGTGCAATCAACGAAGTTTATGACAGTTCATCAATCCTAAGACAGCATGGAAGTCGGGGTGCCTGACACAGACTGTGGGGTGGACCAGCAGGG
Source organism: Homo sapiens (assembly GCF_000001405.40). NCBI lineage: Eukaryota > Metazoa > Chordata > Mammalia > Primates > Hominidae > Homo > Homo sapiens. The sequence goes on along the minus strand of NC_000001.11, from coordinate 230,661,452 downwards.
ACAGGACAGGGTAGCACACTTTTCTGTTGAAAATGATGCCAAAACTCCCTTCTCTACTGTTCATCCGGATGGAGTCCCTGTCTCCAATGGCTTAGACATGGGGAGTCCCAACTCACAGCAGACATTATCTTACAGAAACATTAAAATAAATACAATTAGTTATTACATTAATTGTATATTATCCTTTGGTTACATTAGGGTTTACAGAGCTTCTGTGGACTAGTCTAGAAACCTAACAATATATAAAATATTATTTGGGAAAATATTTGTAAAACTACAAATTTTTAAAATAGAAGCTATTCTTAAATTAGTGACTACCTACATATGAGTGAGCTGACAGTAACAAGTTGAGTTTTCAAATAGCCTTCTTCTCCTCCCCCAACATTTTAAAGCTGTCTACTCTAAGAATCTGTCATATTCAAATCAAACATAACATTTTTTTGGTTATAGTATCACACGCAAAAAATAGAGAAGGATTTACAACTTTTCTGAGGATGAGTATTATAATTACTAAACATTCAAAAAACAAAAATCAACAACCTAACAGATTAAAGGAATTTTTTTTTGGAAGGGCAAACAAGCATATCATGCTTTAGGGTAAACTGTTTGATGTTATTCGGGAAACTTACCAGAACCTCTTCTCGTAATTGTCCCAAAGGCACAGAAAGCTGGTTGAGGGCTTTGTCCATGCCAACCTAAAGGCAGAAATCATGTTGGCACACACACCTCACAATCAAGAGTAACAGCTAAGTATCCATTTAATGATCAATGTAGTGCTAGACTTAGGTTATTCTTTCTGTACAACAAAATGAACAACCATATATTGTTAAGTAACTAAATAACAAATGTTATTTTATAATAAATATTGCTGATAGAATGTGAAAAAACCTTTGATGTACATGAAAACTATAAAAATAAGAGAAGTCATAATAAATAAAAGCCTCCTTAGGCACAATTTGCCTCTGAATAAAATATTTTAATGAATTTGAGAAATTTTAACTGGAGATAAAGAGCTATCTGTCTGTAATTTACAATATTCAACCAGTTGATGTGAAAGTCTCAAGGAGTATATCTATCCTAACCATTATAACCCTTGAGAAAAATCAAAATGAAATAGAATGGAAATATAATTTTCTAGGTTTCTAATCCTACTACAACATTTATCTTAGATGTACATTTCCCAAATGCAAATATGGCTCATTAATTTTAATGCTTCTTAAAATTTCCATGGAGATGGCTACTTTCTGTACTTCTTTGGAGAGAGTTTTAAAAGTAAAATAAAATAGGAACAGGATGACCAAAAGGCAAACTTTGGGAGTATTAAAATATAAGCACTTCTAACCTACTTTTATGAACAGCTGATATGCTCGTGACAAACTATTCTCACATTTTATAAAACCAAGCCTCCTAAAGATCAATACTGGCCAATGTTCTCTCAATCTAGCTGTGGCTAGCGTATGTATCTGAAAGTAAATTAAACACTTCCTTAAGAACAGTTGATATTTGCTCTTGCAAATTGGTCTAAACCAGAGAGATTTCATGGTAATCAGCTGCTAATGAAAACAACCAGTCTGCTACTGCTAGCCTTTGTTTTTCACTAATAATATCAAATTAAAAAAATATTTAATTTAGAATAGTCTTAAGTAAAAAAGCAAAATTGTATATCAAGAAAGTTTGGTTATTTTATTGATGACATTAGGGATCTCTTCAAATTTCTGTGAGGACATCAACTAAAAGGTTTCTAAAAACACACAACACTTCTAAGAATAAGTATGAGTGAGAAAGAAATTGTATGTATGTAAATGGGACCGTGGATTTAAAGTTTACCAAGTTTGTTGAAAGATTGACAAAATCTGCATAATCCTTGTTGATGAGTTCGACCATGGCTGTTTTAAGAAGTTTATAGTAGAGCTCCAGGTCATCTCTCAGTTCTTCCAGCTGGACCCGCTTCCTACAGTCAGACACAAAATGATCGACATCGAAATCTTCCTGAAAAATAAAACCAGAGAAGAAAAAATTATAGCAATGATATCACAGTGACATATACAAATGAAATGGAAGAAAGAGTAAGAAAGCCCATTCCCGTCATTTACAAGGCCATGCTGCTGCAGGAAGAAAGTATCTTGGCTTATACATGACAGTATGAAGGTGTTTGTCCGCTTTATAAAGGTGCCAAGAAGGGTGGCCCCTGACTGAGAACATCCTCTTCTGTTGCCTAAAATTCTAAAAGTGAACTTCTTTTTCAAAACAACACAATTCAATCAGGTTCTTCTCAAAACAGAAACGTTTCCCCTTAATTTTAAAGTAACAAATGTTCAATGTAAAACTTTCAAACAACAAAGAATTATATTAAAAATATCCATCAGAGTAAAAAAAAAATCACTGAAATTCTCATGCTGTAGAGATAAGCACTATTAATCTATTAATTTTTTTCTCTACCTAACATTGTGATTCACATCCTTCCAGATGTTTTTCTATGTGTCACATGCACACACAGAATCTTAATATTCATGCTGTTATGTAAACTGCTTTTCCCCATATAACAATACAACTTGGATGTCTTTTCATAATCCATGTAAATTTGCACTCATGTTTTATATGGATGTTGAGTATTCTATTGAACAAGATGTTCAGGAGCTTGCGGAGTGCACTGCAGCTCAGCAAGGCCGCTGTGGCCAGACTACCAGATTTCTCCTCTCTGGGCAGGGCATCTCTGAAAAAAAAGGCAGCAGCCCCAGTCAGGGTCTTATAGATAAAACCCCCATCCCCGTGGGACAGAGCACCTGGGGGAAGGGATGGCTGCGGGTGCAGCTTCAGCAGACTTAAACGTCACTGCTTGATGGCTCTAGAGAGAGCAGCGGACCTCCTAGCACAGTGTATGAGCTCTGGTAAGGGTCAGACTGCCTCCTCAAGTGGGTCCCTGACCCCCGTGTATCCTGACTGGGAGACACCTCCCAGTATGGGCTGAGAGACACTTCACACAGGAGAGCTCTGGCTGGCATCTGGCAGGTGCCCCTCTGGGACGAAGCTTCCAGAGGAAAGAACAGGCAGCAATCTTTGCTGTTCTGCAGCCTCCACTGATGAAATCCAGGCAAACAGGGTCTGGAGTGGACCTCCAACAAATTCCAGCAGACCTGCAGCAGAGGGGCCTGACTGTCAGAAAGAAAACTAACAAACAGAAAGGAATAGCATGTCCACTCAAAGACTCCATCCAAAGGTCACCAACATCAAAGACCAAAGGTAGATTAATCCACAAAGATGGGGAGAAACCAGCACAAAAATGCTGAAAATTCCAAAAACCAGAAGGCCTCTTCACCTCCAAAGGATCACAACTCCTCACCAGCAAGGGAACAAAACTGGACGGAGAATGAGTTTGACAAATTGACAGAAGCAGGCTTTGGAAGGTGGGTAATAACAAACTCCTCCAAGCTAAACGAGCATGTTCTAACCCAATGTAAGGAAGCTAAGAACCTTGAAAAAAGGTTAGATGAATTGCTAACTAGAATAACCAGTTTGGAGAAGAATATAAATGACCTGACGGAGCTGAAAAACACAGCATGAGAACTTCGTGGAGCACACACAAGTATCAATAGCCGAATCAATCAAGCGGAAGAAAGGATATCAGAGACTGAAGACCAACTTAATGAAATGAAGTGAGAAGACAAGATTAGAGAAAAAAGAATAAAAAGGAAAGAACAAAGCTTCAAGAAATATGGGACTAGATGAAAAGACCAAATCTGCGTTCGACTGGTGTACCCGAAAGTGACGGGGAAAATGGAACCAAGTTCGAAAACACTATTCAGAATGTTATCCGGGAGAACTTCCCCAACCTAGCAAGACAGGTCAACATTCAAATTCAGGAAACATAGAAAACACCACAAAGATGCTCCTCGAGAAGAGCAACCCCAAGACACATAATCATCAGATTCACCAAGGCTAAAATGAAGGAAAAAATGTTAAAGGCAGACAGAGAGAAAGGTCAGGTTACCCACAAAGGGAAGCCCATCAGAATAACAGTGGATCTCTCAGCAGAAACCCTACAAGCCAGAAGAGACTGGGGGCCAATATTAAATATTCTTTAAGAAAACAATTTTCAACCCAGAATTTCATATCCAGCCAAACTAAGCTTCATAAGCAAAGGAGAAATAAAGTCCTTTACAGACAGGCAAATGCTGAGAGATTTTGTCACCACCAAGTCTGCCTTACAAGAGCTCCTGAAGGAAGCACTAAACGTAGAAAGGAAAAACTAGTCAGCCACTTCAAAAACATTGCAAATTGTAAAGACCATTGACACTATGAAGAAACTGCATCAACTAACAGGCAAAATGACCACCTAGCATCATAAGGATAGGGTCAAATTCCACATAACAATATTAACCTTAAGTGTAAACAGACTAAATGCCCCAGTTAAAAGACCCAGACTGGCAAATTGGATAGAGTCAAGACCCATCAGTGTGCTGTATTTAGGAGACCCATCTCACGTGCAAAGACACACATAGGCTCAAAATAAAGGGATGGAGGAATATTTACCAAGCAAATGGAAAGCAAAAAGAAGCAGGAGTTGCAATCCTAATCTCTGATAACACAGACTTTAAACCAACAAAGATCAAAACAAAGAAGGGCATTACATAATGGTAAAGGGATCAATGCAACAAGAGCTAATTATCCTAAATATATATGCACCCAATACAGGAGCACCCAGATCCATAAAGCAAGTTCTTAGAGACCTACAAAGAGACTTAGACTCCCACACAATAATAGTGGGAGATTTGAACACCCCACTGTCAATATTAGACAGATCAACAAGACAGAAAATTAACAAGGATATTCAGGACTTGAACTCAGTTCTGGACCAAGAGGACCTAATAGACATCTACAGAACTCTCCACCCCAAATCAACAGAATATACATTCTTCTCAGCACTGCATCGCACTTATTCTAAAATTGGCCACATAATTGGAAGTAAAACATTCCTCAGCAAATGCAAAAGAATGAAAATCATAATAAACAGACTCGCAAACCACAGTGCAATCAAATTAGAACTCAGGATTAAGAAACCGAACAACCTGCTCCTGAATGACTACTGGGTAAATAATGAAATGAAGGCAGAAATAAAGATGTTCTTTGAAACCAATGAGAACGAAGACACAACGTACCAGAATCTCCGGGACACATGTAAAGGAGTGTGTAGAGGGAACTTTATAGCACTAAATGCCCACAAGTGAAAGGAGGAAAGATCTAAAACTGACACCCTAACATCAAAATTAAAAGAACTGGAGAAGCAACAGCAGACAAATTCAAAAGCTAGCAGAAGACGAGAAATAACTAAGATCAGAGCAGAACTGAAGGAGATAGAGACACGAAAAACCCTTCAAAAAAATCAATGAACCAATGAAACCAGGAGCTGGTTTTTTGAAAAGATCAACAAAATAGATAGACCTCTAGCCAGACTAATAAAGAAGAAAAGCAAGAAGAATCAAATAGATGCAATAAAAAATGATAAAGGGATATCACCCCCCATTCCACAGAAATACAGACTACCATCAGAGAACACTATAAACACCTCTAGGCGAATAAACTAGAAAATCTAGAAGAAATGGATAAATTCCTGGACACATACACCCTCCCAAGGCCAAACCTGGAAGAAGTTGAATCCCTGAATAGACCAATAACAAGTTCTGAAATTGAGGCAGCAATTAATAGCCTACCAACCAAAAAAAGTCCAGGACCAGACGGATTCACAGCTGAATTCTACCAGAGGTACAAAGAGGAGCTGGTACCATTCCTTCTGAAACTATTCCAAACAATAGAAAAAGAAGGAATCTTCCCTAATTCATTTTATGAGGCCAGCATCATCCTGATATCAAAACCTGGCAAAGACACAACAAAAAAAGAAAATTTCAGGCCAATATTTCTGATGAACATCAATGCAAAAATCCTCAATAAAATACTGGCAAACCAAATCCAGCAGCACATGAAAAAGCTTATCCACCACAATCAAGTTGGCTTCATCCCTGCAACGCAAGGCTGGTTCAACACACGCAAATCAATAAACGTAATCCATCACATAAACAGAACTAATGATAAAAACCACAAGATTAACTCAATAGATGCAGAAAAGGCCTTTGTCAAAATTCAACACCCCTTCATGCTAAAAACTCTCAATAAACTAGGTACTGATGGAACGTATCTCAAAATAATGAGAGCTATTTATGACAAACCCACAGCCAATATCATACTGAATGGCCAAAAACTGGAAGCATTCCCTTTGAAAACTGGCATAAGACAGGGATGCCCTCTTCTCACCACTTCTATTCAACATAATATTGGATGTTCTGGCCAAGGCAATCAGGCAAGAGAAAGAAATAAAGGGTATTCAAATAGGAAGAGAGGAAGTCAAATTGTCTCTGTTTGCAGATGACATGATTGTATATTTAGAAAACCCTATCATCTCAGCCCAAAATCTCCTTAAGCTGATAAGCAACTTCAGCAAAGTCTCAGGATACAAAATCAATGTGCAAAAATCACAAGCATTCCTATACACCAATAACAGACAAACAGAGAGCCAAATCATGAGTGAACTCCCATTCACAATTGCTACTAAGATAATAAAATAACTAGGAATACAACTTACAAGGGATGTGAAGGACCTCTTCAAGGAGAACTACAAACCGCTGCTCAAGGAAATAAGAGAGGACACAAACAAATGGAAAAACATTCCATGCTCATGGATACGAAGAATCAATATCATGAAAATTGCCATACTGCCCAAAGTAATTTACAGATTCAATGCTATCGCCATCAAGCTACCATTGACTTTTTTCACAGAATTGGAAAAAGTCTTCTCAAAGAAGAGCTCGCATAGCCAAGACAATCCTAAGCAAAAGGAACAAAGCTGGAGGCATCACACTACCTGACTTCAAACTATACTACAAGGCTACAGTAACCAAAACAGTATGGTACTGGTATGAAAACAGATATATATAGACCATTGGAACAGAACAGAGGACTCAGAAATAACACCACACATCTACAACCATCTGATCTTTGACAAACCTGACACAAACAATGGGGAAAAGATTCCCTATTTAATAAATGATGTTGGGAAAGCTGGCTAGCCATATGCAGAAAACTGAAACTGGACCCCTTCCTTACACCTTGTACAAAAATCAACTCAAGATGGATTAAAGACTTAAACGTAAGACCTAAAACCATAAAAATCCTATAAGAAAACCTAGACAATACCATTCAGGACATAGGCAGGGCAGACTTCATGTCTAAAACACCAAAAGCAATGGCAACAAAAGCCAAAATTGACAAACGGAATCTAATTAAACTAAAGAGCTTCTGCACAGCAAAAGAAACTATCATCAGAGTGAACAGGCAACCTACAGAATGGGAGAAAATTTTTGCAATCTGTCCACCTGACAAAGGGCTAATATCCAGAGTCTACAAAGAACTTAAACATACAAGAAAATTTAATCTCCAATACAAGAGTTGAGAGGATACCTTTAAGAAGTGGTCATGAGGGCTTTGTCCTCATGAATGTATTCATGCTTTTACCATGCTAGTGGATTCATTTTTGAGAGAGGGTTATAAAAGTGAGTTCATCCCTCTCTTGCTCTTGTATGCTCCTGCCATCCAACTTCTGCCACATGATGCCCTACACCCCATTTTGACACAGCAAGAAAGCCTCCACCAGATGCGGCCTCTTGATCTTGAACTTCCCAACCTCCAAAACTGTGAGCCACATAAACTTCTACAGTTTATAAATTATCCAGTCCCAAGTATTCTGTTTTAGCAGCACAACATTAGATACCCACTAATATGGAGTGTTTTAGTAGAATCTAAACACTCTGGCTAGTAGAATTGATTCTTTAGTAGAATCAATTCTGGCTAGTAGAATTTGATTCTTTAGTAGAATCAAACTCTGGCTGGGCACAGTGGCTCACGTCTGTAATGCCAGCGCTTTGAGAGGCTGAGGTGGGGGGTTCACTTGAGGTTGGGAGTTCAAGACCAGCCTGGCCAACACGGCGAAACCCCATCTCTACTAAAAATACAAAAATTAGCCCGGCGTGGTGGCATGTGCCTGTACTCCCAGTTACTCGGGAGGCTGAGCCATGAGAATTGCTTGAGGCCTGGAGGCAGAGGTTGCAGTGAGCCAAGATGGTGCCACTGCACTCCTCCCTGGGCAACAGAGCAAGACTCTGTCTCCCCAAAAAAAAAAAAAACAAAAAATGAAAAATAAAGTCAAATTCATTGAAACAAAAAGTAGAGGACTAGGTGCTGGAGAATGGGGATTGGCGTTGGGAGTAATGTCAAATGATATAAACTTTCAGTTATAAGACAAATAAATTCTGGAGTTCTAATGTATAGCATGATGACTATAGTTAATAATATACTGTATTCTTGAAATGTGCTAAGAGAGTAGATCTTAAGCGTTCTCACTATAAAAAGAGGGGGTTAACTATGTGAGGTGATGAATACATTACCTTGATTATGGTAATTATTTCACAATGTATACACATTACCAAATAATCACACTGTATATAATTTTTATTTGTCATACAATTTTTATTTGACAATCATACCTAAATAAAGCTGGGGTGGGCAAGCAGTATGAAATCAAACCTAATTTTAAAATGAGCGAAAGATCTGAAAAAATGCTCAACATGAGTTATTATTAGGGAACTGCAAATTAAAACAAGACACCAATGAAGAGAATGACTAAAATCCAAAACACTGACAATACCAAATGCTTCTGAAGTTATGGAGCAGTAGGAACTCTCATTCATTCCTGGTAAGAATGCAAAATGGAAGTCACTTTGGAAGACAGCTTGGCAGTTTCTTACAAAACTAAACAGAGTCTTGCCAATTGTGCTCCGTATTTAGCCAAATGGGTTGAAAATGTATGTCCATACAAAAACCTGCACGTGAATGTTTATAGCAGCCTTATTCTAACTGCCAAAACTTGGAAGCAAATATGATTTCTTTCAATAGGTAAATAGATGAACAAACTGTGGTATATCCATACATGGAACATTACTCAGCAATAAAAAGAGATGAGCTATATCAAGCCACAAAGACATGGAGGAATCTTAAACGTACATTTCTAAGTGAAAGAAGTCAATCTGAAAAGGCTATATATACTGTATGATTCCTACTGCATACATGATATTCAGGAAATGGCAAAACTATGGAGACTAAAGAGATCCGTAGTTGCCTGGGGTTAGGGATGGGAGGGTGGTGGTGCTGAAGGTGCCGGGAGAGGAGGGGAAGAATGGACAGGCAGAGCACAAGGGATTTGTAAAGCAGTGAAACTGTTCTGTATGATACTGTAATAGTGGATACATGACACTATGTACTTATTAAAACCCATTGAATGTAGAACACAAAGAATGAACTCTAATAAAAACTATGGCACTTCAGTTAAAAATAATGCCTCAATATTGGTTCATCAATTGTAACAAAGGTACCATACTAATTCAAGATGTTACTAGGAGAAACTGTGAAGGGGGAGGCAGGAGGGGATAGATGGGACCTCTGTGCTTTCTGCTCAATTCTTCTATAAAACTAAAACTGCTCCAAAGAAGTCTATTAATTAAAAAATACTAAGGTAGATAAACTTTTTTTTCCTGAATGGAATAGCACCCACTTTTTGAAAATAAGCTGTTTTAGTTAAAAAGCAATATTTTTAAAAGTAGACTTTTTTCTTGTTAAAATATATATGCCTGTGTCTGAAAAGCTGGAAGAAGTCAAGAATTATGGCCTGAAAGCCCAGAAATTAAAAGAAAAATCATTTCTCTTTATACTCAGAGATATTTCTGACTTAAACCCAGGTAAAGTACAAATGCCCCAAACAGCTGGAAGTTGACTAACAAATCAAATACAGGATAATAAGACAGCAAAACAAACCAGCTGTGGAAAACTTAAGAACCATTAACTAGAATAGCAGTGACAATCAATTTTAAAACCAAATAAAGTTTAAGAGTTTAGCTGCTTTAATAACTAGTTGCACCCAAGGATGGCAAACAATGACTAACACAAGAGAACTGGGGAAGTAATCATTTAAAGCTCGCCTGAGACCCAAATATCAATATCCTTAACACTGAGAAAATTTCACAGAACTTTTAACAGAAGAGCAAAATTCTCCAAGCTGCCCCATGCTGAACGTCAAAAAGTAAAATGTTCCCCAAATATAGAAAACTATCAAATCATCGGCTACTGCAGCAGGGACAGAACCCAAATCCCCCAGACATCATCATTCTGTATTCATAATGATGGGAGGTACTACCAAGAGGCAACACCAAGCTGAAGACATGATCTCTGCACTCAAAACATGTTCAGTCTCATTGAGATAAACACCAATACAAAATATTATGTGCTAAACTGTGGACTAAATAAACTATAGGTGGAAAGTCATAAAAGATTAGTATAAGCTCCTGTATGTCTGTGTGTTTCAAACCATTCTTTAAGACAAAGGGCCAACAGATAAGAATAAATGCCCCTGCATATTCGATAAACATTAAATATTCACTACGTGCAGAAAAATGAAACTGGACCCCTATTTCTCACCATATATAAAAATTAAGTCAAGATGGATTAAAAACTTAAATGTGTAAGACCTGAAACTATAAAAATCCTAGAAGAAAACCTAGGAAAAATTCTTCTGGACATTGGCCTAGGCAAAGGATTTATGACTAAGACCTCAAAGCAGATGCAACAAAAACAAAAATAGACAAATGAGACTTCGTTAAACCAAAAAGCTCTGCAGAGCAAAAGAAATAGCAGTGTAAACAGGCAATCTACAGAATGGGAGAAAACATTTGGAAATCATACATGCAACAAAAGACTAATATCCGGAGTCTACAAGGAACTTAAATCAACAAGAAAAAAACAAGTAACCCCATTAAAAAGTGGGCAAAAGACATGAACAGACATTTCTCAAAAGAAGACATACAAGCATCCAACAAACATATGAAAAAATGTCCAACATAACTAATCATCAGAGAAATGCAAATTAAAATTACAATGAGATACCATCTAACACCAATCAGAACAGCTTTTATTAAAAAGTCAAAAAACAACACTGGATGTGAGAAAAAGGAATGCTTATACACTGTTGGTGAGAATGTAAATTAGTACAGGTTCTATGGAAAACAGTATGGCGACTTCTCAAAGAACTAAAAATAGAACTACCATTTGACCTAGTAATCCTAATAGGGAACATCCACCCAAAGGAAATCATTATATAAAAAAAGACACCTGCACTCCTATGTTTATTGAAGCCCTATTCACAATAGCAAAGTCATGGAATCAACGTGTCTATCAACGGAGGATTGGATAAAGAAAATGTGGTGCATTTATACCACAGAATACTATGCAGCCTTAAAAAGATGAAATCATGTCTTTTGCAGCAACATGGATGGAGCTGGAGGTCATTATCCTAAATGAACTAACTCCGAAACAGAAAGTCAAATACCACATCATCTCCCTTCTAAGTGGGACATAAATGATGGGTATATGTGGACATAAAGATGGAATTAATAGACACTGGGGACTTGAAAGGGGAAGTGCTGGAGGAAGATGAGGGCTGAAAAATTATCTATTGGGTACAACATTCACTGTCTGGGTGATGAACACACTAGAAGCACAAACCTCACCATTACACACTATAACCACATAATAAACCTGTACATGTACCTCCTGAATCTAAAATAAAATAAAATAAATAAGTAACAAAAGAAAAACCACAATGAGATACCCAATAAATAAATAAATAATCACTGCTGTAATTACAGGGGGCACAGCAATGAAAAGCAAAGACAACATTCCTGTTCTCAAGGAGCATATATTCTAATGGGGAAATGAGAAAATAAACATGTAAACAAACATTATGAATAGTGGTAAGTGCTACAAAGAAAATAAAATGGAACCCTATGAAAGCGAGTGATGAAAAGGGGATAGAAGACCCTTACAAAGTGGTATCTGAGCTGAGATCTGAATGTCATGAAGGCAACAGCCATGGGAAAGACTGTGGGAAGGGAACCCTTCCTCACAACAGCAAGCTATGGGCAAAAACGTCCCTGGAGCTCTTCCCTCCAGCCCCTGCCCTCAAACCTAGTGCTGTCCCCAGTGCAGGGTGGCTCCATTGACACATGACCCAGTTAGTCTGGAACTCGTGTCTTCCAAGGCTCATTCTAAACCTTTATTTGGTTACCAAATTACTGAAGCCTGAGAAATTAAAAATGTATGCTAAAGTGTTTTCCAGCATCTATGGACAGATGATATTAGAAGTTTTATGAAACAGTAGCACTTAAGTTCTAAATAACTTATTATGTTTAAATGGATTAATCAATTTTATGTCTAAATCCTCTGTTCAATACCGTATCTGTGTTTGATGTATTTACGAGAAGGCAAAGAAAACCTATAACCTGTCACTTCCATTTAACAAATATTTGTGCTCTGTCCCAGCTGATTTCTTCTCTTTCTCTCTCCTTTTTACCCCAGTTTAACACTAATGACAATCTATGTGGTCTTCTAGCTTACTTTCTCAACTTAATTTCTTGAGCTCTTAAGCAGAATGATCTCATTCTGAAGTGCTTACTGCTGTGGGTGTATTAGGGACACCTGAGAAAGCCCAAGCCCCATTTTGTGATTAATTTGGTTAGTTAAATCCTCAAAGAAATTTGATGTTAAATGCTGTATGACTGAACAACAAAGATCTATTTACATGATGCTTATCTAACTTTGAACAAAGAAATATCCCAAGTAATAAAAACTCAAGGGACCATGAGTTCAACATTTTATTCAAGTAATACATTTTATAATATTGCAAGAAGTGACTTGGAAAATTTTTGCATACCAAAGAACTTCTTTTTACCAAAGGCCAACTGAATAAACTGTGTATGTCCAATGGTACTGATCTCATACCATCAAGAAAAGTATTTCACATTAGGAAATCGCTCCACATGTGGGTAATTAGAAAATTCTGTGACAATCAGTCTCAAATATATTCTTTATTTGTGTTGCAAACTGAAGCTAAAGAGAATTCAAGCTTTTCATGAAGACCAAAAATGAAACCATGAACCTGTAAGGTCAGCATTTTAGTTGCTGTGAAATGATGGCACATGCTGTGCCCGGCACTCAGCAACACTGGGCTGTTGCCTTCACACTTACATCCGCTTTCCTGTATCTCATCTACAGGCCAAGAGTCCAGATCACTAGATGGGTTACAATTTGTTTTAAATTAAGTGATGGCCCTCAATCTTGTCCCTACTGATAAAATGCATGTGCTTTAGCATAGGGACTATGTGACATTTTTGGGCTGTTCTCAGTATTCAAAATCACACATTCCAAAGTTTCTACCATCTAGAAAGGAAAGCATGACACGATTATTTTTCCAGTACTGAAGCCTGGGAGTCATGAGATAATGGCCCTGGGTTGCCCCAGTTAGCTGTGTGACTCTGGGGGAAGTCACAACATCTCTGGACCTCAGTTTCTTTATCTGCAAACTGGAAGAATCTACTACAGTTGTCCCTCTGTATCCGAGCATTCCACACCCTCTAATTCAATCAGTCATTAATTGAAAAGAGTCTTTAAAAAAATAATTAAAAAAATAAAAAGTAATGCAAATAAAAATACAGTATAACAACAATTTCACTGTATTAGGTAGTATAAGTAATCTAGAGGTGATTTAAAGTATTCCAGAGGATGTAAGTAGGTTATATGCAAATACTACACCATTTACAAGAGGGTCTTGAGCATTTGCAGATTTTGCTATCTGTGAAGGGGTGGGAGGTGTCCTGGAATCAATCCTCTGCGGATACTGAGGGGCAACTGTAAGTTTCTTTATTCACAGAAACATAAAACGACAAGAGCCAGAAACACTGCAAAGAGTATTGAGATAAGCATCACCCCATGACATAAATGAGGAAACTGAAGCCCGCAGAGGCCAGCGATTTGCACAAAATCACACGAGTGCTCAGCAGAGCTGAAACTGGGGCCCACATCTCCAGGTCACTGCTATTCAATCAGCCAGGCATTATTCTCTTGGACACACCTCCTGTTTCAATATTCCCTATTTACACACTTAGAATACAGATGAGCCTCAGAACTACAGTAAGGGGTCCCCTTATCTGAGGGAGATATATTCCAAGACCCCCAGTCAATGCCTGAAACCACAGATAGTACCCAACTCTATATACGCTATGTTTTTTCAATCAGATAACCAAGATAGCTACTAATCAATAGAAACTGTCCATCAGTGCAATAAGCTGCTCTGGAATACTTCCAAGTGTTCTGGAAAATGCTTTCTCATGTTTTCATGGTGTATACAGGTGGCAGTCTGATTACATACAAGCACCTGTTACATACAAGCACCGAGATGCGTTTTGAAAAGGGCACCCTGCCTGTGATGTAGAACACGGACTAGAAAAAGGCAAGAATGGATGCCAGGGGACTACAGTAAGAAGCCACTAGATTATAATGGCCAGAGATAATGATGAGTCAGAAAGTGGGAAAAGAGGAGATGGAGAGAAGTAGACAAATTTCAGAGATATTTGGGAAGTGAAATCCTAAGGCTTAGTAACAGGTTGGATTTCAAGAATGTGAAGGAGAGAGGTGTTATCAAGGATGACTCCTTGATAACATCTGACTCACAACCAGATGGATGGATTACCTCAGGTCTAGTATTACCTGAGATAGGTAATACCAGAAGAGAGCCAAGTTTGAGAGAAGGTTGGTTTTTTTCATCTTCCCCCAACAAATTCAGTTTTAAATATGCCGAGTTTGAGGTGCCACAGAGATAGCCAAGAAGAGATGTCAAGGCGCTGTGCACATGGGGTTGCAGATAAGAAGGTATTTGGGCCAGAAGTATGAACCTTTCACCTGTCTACACGTGGTCATTGAAGCTGCATGAAGTGGGTCACCTGCGGAAAGTGCACAGCATGTGAAAAGGAACAGACACGTGGCTGAGTCCATAACCCACCAATTAATGGCTAGGAGGAGAATGATTATGCAAAAGAGACAAGGAGACCAGAGAGGCCAAAAGATAACCAGAAAGCACCAGGTTTCAGAAAGCAAATGAAGGGAGCATTTGATCTACTGAGGTCAGGGAAGGAAGCAGAGAAGGTCTGGTGGATCGACTTCCATCTAGTTAACTTTGGTGAGAAGTCTTTAGTGGAATGATGGGGCCAGAAACCAGAGTGAAGTGAATTTAAGAGTGAAGGGAGAGAAAGTAAAGACAACATTTGGCTGTGAGCATTTGGCTGTGAGATGGAAGAGAGCGATGGGCTTTAACTGGAGGTTGGAGGGTCCAGTAGAAGAAACTAAAATAGGAGTGTGTCTGAAAGCCAATGGGAAGAAGTGTGGAGAGGGTGGGAATAACAGGGTCCTGAGAAGGGAGAGGGCACCGGATCCAGGCATGGGAGGCAGACCTCAGGAGGAAGGAAAGACCCCTACACCAGCGTCCCCAACTACCTGTGGGGAACCGGGTGGCCCAGCAGGAGGAGCGCAGCCTGTATTCACAGCCACTCTGTATTGGAGCTCCGCCTCCTGTCAGATCAGTGGCAGCACTAGATTCTCATAGGAGCATGGACCCTACTGTGAACTGCACATGCGAGGGATCTAGGTTAGGCACTCCTTATGAAAACCTAATGCTGAATGATCTGTCAGTGTCTCCCATCACCCCCCAGACAGGACTGTCTAGTTGCAAGAAAACAAGGTCAGAGCTCCCACTGATTCTACATTACGGTGAATTTTATAACTATTTCATTATGTATTACAATGTAATAATTATAGAAATAAAGTGTACAATAAATGTAATGCGCTTGAATCACCCCAAAACCATCCCCTGCACTCCTGGTCCATGGAAAAATTGTCTTCCAAAAGTGTCAAAAAGGTTGGGGACCATTGCCCTACACAACAGGTTAATGATGGGAGTGAGAACAGGTACAAATGCAAGAACGAGGTTGCTGTCAGCAAGATGAAGGAGCTACCGCTTGATGGCCTCTATTTTTTCTGTAAAACACATGAAGTCATACGTGAGACAGAAGGATATGATTGCCACAGCATACCTAGGTTAAGTGGGTTTAAGTTATCCCTGTTAGCCTACCACCTCTCTCCTACTACCAGTATCTTACATCCTAATTCATCTACTGATTGTCAACCCTCTCTAAGAGTGTTTGTACATTTTCTTTTTTTTTTTTTTTTTTTTTTTGACAGGGTCTCTTTCTGTTGCCCAGGCTGAAGTGCAGTGCTGCAATCCTGGCTCACTGCAGCCTTGACCTCCACAGGCTCAGGTAATCCTCCCACCTCAGCCTCCCAAGTAGCTGGGACTACAGGTATGTGCCACCACACCTGGCTAATTTTTCAATATTTTGTAGAAATGCATTCTCACTATGTTGCTCAGTGTGTATATTTTATTAAGCTGACGAAGTCAACAGTATCATGCCATTACCACCTTTGACCCCTCAAGTGATTCGTTCATCTGCCACTCCTGCTTTTTGATCATTTACGTAATATTTTCCACAAACTATCCCCTCCTGTATTTCTCAGATCTCATAAAAACCACTGAAATAACTTTTTAAGTAGCCTCCCGCCACCAGTCAGTTCCAACTGCAACATACATGATCATGTCATTTCCTGCTTTTAACCTGACTGTAACTCCACAATGAATACTAAATCAAGTGCAAATCCGTCAGTACAGTATACAAGGCCCATTGAAACCTGCACACAGCAGGTGATCATGGAATGCCCACTGACTGAACAATTGCTACCACTGCACTAGCATGCCCTCATGATCTATGGCAACCTAAACACAGTTTCCCATCAACACCAGAAGAGACGTAATACCAGAAGAGAGGTAATAACAGAAGAGAGTGGATTTCAAGCAACTTTAAATCTGGATTTTCAAGCAATCTCAAATCTCCCAATGCAAATGTCATATCCCAACTTTCTCACACGTACAAAACCTATCCAATTACAAAATGTGCTGAATGAGACACAAACATAGAAATATAGCCTGGACAAGTGTTCCAACCATCCTTTCTGCCATGGAAGTGCAACTTATATGTAGTTTTATATGTTTAAGGCAACACAAATTGCAAATAACCTTTATCTTCAAGCTCCACCTAAAAAATCAACAAAATTTTACACAGAACAGCTGTTCTATGTATTTTCTTCTATGTATGTTGTCACTTTTATAAGCACTACAAAATGTACCGCATATTCACAGAGCCACGAAATATGCAATTGCTGGCATTCCAGCCACCACCCCAGTTTGCACTCTAAGTTCTATTTTAGAACTTGTATTTCTGTGATTTCACTTCCTGAAGCTGCATTTACCAAAGGCATTCTGTCAACTCAGAGTGGGAAAGGTGGTGGGGCTAGTGAGTCAGAGAAGATGCTGGTGTTGAGCCTTAAGAAGTCAAGAGATGGACAAACTGAGATTATTCTGTACTCTGAGATTCTTGACGTCAACAAGGCCCCTGATCTCCGTGTATGGCCTTTCCTCTTCCAGGGCACCTCTCCCCAGCATGTACCCTTAGCTGTTTCTTTCTACCCTCATTTCAGGGTAGCTCTTAGCCAGTAGGCAAAACGAAGGGTTTCTGGATCAATGAGTTGATTCTGTACATTCTTTGAGACATCCTAATGAAGTTACACCTTTTAGTACAGTGGTCTAATAGGAATATCACTTACAAGAATAAGGTACATTATTCCTGGGTATAGATAAGTCCTACATACGAAAAATGATATGGTCACACTGGAGAAGATACAGATCTACTTTAAAAAAAAACAGCTTTGGAGATGTAATCTGAATGCAAATATTATCAAAAAGAGATAGGCTAATTAATCTAGAAAACATTATGTCACCAAGAAAGGCAGAGTAAGATTTCAACTCACTTGCTCAAAATTGTAGATGTCTACTAACCAGCTAAAACTTTTCGCTTTTTAACACTGAAAGCAGCTACTAAAAGGTGTCAAAAATCCTAGTCCTCAGGAAATTAAATAGAAACATTTTTTGAATGGCTTAAGTGCAGACCCAGAGGGATACACCAAGTAGGAGCAAAGCTCCTCCCAGCTCTCACTCAAAGCCTGGCCATTTTCAAGGCTGTGCCTGATGAACTTTATCATCAGTGAAGTGTTTTCAGTTTATATTTCTTTTCTCTAAGTTTATGACCTACAACTACCAACTTCTTCAAATGCATCACGTAAAAAGTAGAGCAACTTCTTTAAAGAGTAATGGTTTGCTTTGTCGTACTGCAATAGTCGGTAAGAATGTTCTAAGCTTCTAAATATCCCATTCTGGAAGCTTTAGCTGAATGTTAAGCAAAACTTCAGATTAAGTTCTTTTTCTTTCCGACCCGAGTCCCTAGGAAAGTACGTGGGCTTGGAGATTTATTCAACACACACTTAATGAGCTCCAAGGCCCCGGTCCACAAGCTTCTTTCCGACAAGGGGACTGGCAATCTGACTGCACTGCATGGTAACAGGAACGGGTAACAGTGGCTTTGACATGCAGCTCAAAACCACTTGCCCAGAACTTTCAGGCCTTTCCATGTAACACGCACGATTTTACAGAAGTGCTTTCTCCAGGCTGCACCCGCCAAACCTGACGCCAAAAGACTCATTGCGAAGTGCAGCGAGGTCTCGGCGGAGGACCTGACACTGAGCGTGCGCAGGCAGGAGCAGCCGACCGAAGAGACCGCCACAGAGGGCACAGGGCAGAGGCACCCTCATGGCCCGGCTCCGGGGAGCGGACGCCGCGCGCACCTTCATGAACTCGTCCTTGTCGAAGCAGAGCGTGTCCGGCCCCTTGGGCAGGTTCATCCTACTTTTCTCCATCCCGCCGGCCACCGCCTCTCAGTGCCAAGATCCAAGCGAGAAAACGCAGGAGGCTGCGCAGACCGACTCGGCGGCCGCGGCCACCGCCAGTTTCCACGGCACAGGGGGGTCCGCTTCCGCCAACATGGCAGCGCCCGCGCCGCGGCCAATGAACGACGGCACCGCAAGCCGGCCTGCGCCTGGCTCTGGCCAAGAGGGGCGCGGGGGCCGCCGCTGCTGCACGGGTAGGCCGTGCTGCCCTCATGTGGCGGAGGGCGGTACTGCAGCCTCGCGCGGGCTCCTGCAAGGCTGCCCACCTCCCTAGGAGGCGTGGCTGAGCTGCAGGGGTGGGTCAAAAGGGGTGAGCGGGTCTCCCTCCCACCCCCACCGTTTCTACTGGGAAAAATTGTCCTACAACGCTTTTCCAGTGCCTTCTACCCTGAGACTGCTCTGCTTCGTTATGCATGGCCAGAAGTTGGCCCTTTGGTTCTCAGGCCCGTTTTCCAGGTTGGACGTATCACCGTGGTCGCATTCTTCACCTCCCTGTGCGCGGTCACTGCCGCTGGTGGGCGCTAACGCCTCTATGGAGACCCCCGCCCTTAGCCTCTGTCCCCACAGAGAAGTGTAGCGTCTCCTCCACTGGGCTCCGTTACTGGGAACTCATAGGGAAGAAGGTGGTCAGCTAGGCGGCTTTGGGTCCTCTGAGTAGCTCCCTGCTCAACCTCGGTCTCCGTTCCAGGTGGGCAGCCTCTGAGCGCAACTTTGGGTCTTCAAGGTGCTTAAAGGAGTGCCTCGCTATCTGATTAAACACAGCAGACAAATACATGTGCATGCACATTTATTTTTAATTTCAACCAGGAATGGACAAATTTTTGTGTTGTGGCCAGTACTGGTGCAACCAAACCAATTTCTTAGACTGTCTTCCTCCTCCTCCCCCCACCCACCCCAATTTTATTCTGAGACGTTCTTCCTTTATCTCCTCCCTTGCTTTTTTCTCCTCTTGTCCCTTCCGCTAGCTGTAAATACCGTGGTCAAATGATGATGATTCATTTTTCTTCTTTTCTCCTTGACATTCGGATGATTCAAACCACAAACCTCACTTCACACTCTTCATTCTGCAAACCTTTCCTTCCCGCTTCTGTTGAGGAATCTAGGCCTCTCTTCCCAATTTTTCTCCTTGGAGATAAGATTAACGCCATGATGGCCTGTAAAAAGGAATGGGACAGCAGAGGGTAAGACCTCACCATGAGACTTTGTATTTCAAGTATCTCAACTAGAAAACTGGTCACTTAAAAAAAAATGTAGGCGTAGAATCCAAAACGCTCTACTCCCTAGCACTGGACCTAGCAGGCCCTGTTGAAGAGCCTATTTCCTGCCAGTATCTACAGAACAGATGAACAGGATAAGAGCCGGAAGCTAGCTGGAGGATCAAAATATTCTGCCAGAGGAGCGATTGGGAAAAGTACATCCTAAGTCCCTGTTATGTTTGTTTTGCTGGAGGAAATGAAAACCTCATTTTCTGTTTAATTTTTTGTTTTCTCTTGTTATGAAAATTTTCAAGTACACAGAAGTGTGGAGAGCACAAGAACCCCACCCTATGTACTTAGCACCTCGCTTCAACCATCATCAACCTGTCTCCTCTGCCCTTCCCCACCCACCGCATCGAGACCTTCTTTTTTTGTTGTTTTATATATATATATATATACATATATATATATATTTTTTTGAGACGGAGTTTCACTGTTGTTACACATGCTGGAGTGCAATGGCATGATCTCTGCTTACCGCAACCTCCACCTCCCAGGTTCAAGCGATTCTCCTGCCTCAGCCTCCCGAGTAGCTGGGATTACAGGCATGTGCCACCATGCCTGGCTAATTTTGTACTTTTAGTAGAGATGGTGTTTCTCCCTGTTGGTCAGGCTGGTCTCGAACCCCTGACCTCAGATGATCCACCCGCCTCAGCCTCCCAAAGTGCTAGGTTTACAGGCATGAACCACTGAGTCCAGCCCTTTTATTGGAATATGTTTTAAAGCAAATTCTAAACACCATATCATTTCCTATCCCCTAATACCTCAGTTTACGCATCAAAAGAAGAAAAAAAAACCCTGACATTTTGTAACACCTAACAAAACCAGCAATTCCAATAACCAATCTATAGTGGCTCTGAAAGGTGGGCCTTTATCCCAAGGTCACACTGTTAATAAGTGGCAAGTTGCAAACCCAGGCAGCCTGGCTTCAAAGCCCAGTACCAAGGCACGGGAGAGGATGCTGGACAGATGAAACAAAGATGTCTGCAACCCTGCCTTCTCTTTCGAGGCTCTGCAGGAAGTCTAGGTAAGCTGGAACTTGAACTCTTTCTTTCTTCACTGTAATTCCCTTCTGACATTGTTCCTGGGACTTTAGAAATAAAATGAACCTGAATTTGTACAGACTGGGCTTATCTTGAGGATGCTAAAGGGATTAAGTGGCAACAGCGATGGAGGGTCCCTGCTGCCTGCTGTCCTCCCTAGATTCAGAAGGGAACCATCAGGACCCCATGGAGTGGGCTGCGGCTTGGAGACACAGATAGTGGTGCAGACCACCACAGCCAGGCGCAACAAGAAAGACTTCAATGCTAGCATCATAATCTACAGAGGACAAACGCAAGAGAGAAAGCCTACACCTGCCCAGAGGACATGGCCCTGGGTTTCCACTCAGAGCTGATGTTCAACTGGCACACAGTATTTCAGCTGTGCTACTTGGTAAATATTGCAACATCTCAAAGGTTGGTGAATGGCCTCTGTACAGAATCTGCTGCTGCCCTGACCCCTACCTTGGCCTCATGATCCAGCCATTAGAGGGTTACTGCCTGGCTTAGCGGGGCTCCTCTAGCCAGCTTCTGATTGGCTAGTGTCTGTGCTGTTAAATATTTGTCTGCTGTTAAATATTTGAATGTCATCTCTGGTAGTGATACTTATTTCATAGTATTTGCAGGAAGAGAAAATTTAAAAGTGCATATAAAGCACCTGCCTAATCAATGCAAGACATAATATGGAGTCTTTTTACCTGAGTTTTTCCCCCTTTGTTGATCTGTAACTTTCTTCAAAATGAGACTTTAGTTGGCACATTTTTCCATCTTTTTCAGTCTCTCCCCTAATTTCATCCTTTCTTGGCTTTTCTTTATAAAGCATGCACCTGCTACTTCATTTCTAAGTAAATATTAATCCCCCTTTGACTTTGCATCTCTGGAAAATTTTTAGTTCCCTGTTTTCAGTGGCATTGTGAGAGGTCCCATTTTTTTCTTCCCACTCTCCCCTATTTATAGGCTCCACATTTTTGGCAGGTTTGCTATAGAACACTCAAAAATTGCAAGGGGAAATATTATGCTCAGGAAATCATAGGAGCATTTTCTCTAGTAATCATCACCAAGTTCTTATGCTGATCCTCTCCTGAACTGTTGGACTAAAGCAGCTGAATTTTCCAAAAGCAACCAGAGTCGCCCTTGTTCACTACTGAAGGATAGGAGGGTTTCCATTTTTAAACAGATCATGTGCTTGACCTGAAGGCTGAGGATACAGTCAGACGGTCCTGCATTCCTAGAGGAGGGCAGACATGGCGGTAGGGGTGGAGCAGCAGGGGACAGGGGAGACAGTCACCACCTTCAGGACCTGCACTCTGACTTGGAAAGCTCAATGAACCAACTGGGCTATTTCAACATCTTCTATATTTTGTTTATAACTCTGCCTCATTCCAGGGTGGATTTGAGGTGGTTTGGTTTGATTCGTGAACATTTCCCATGCCAATTAGAAGACATTATGTTAGGGGGGGTCCCCAATTCAGCCTCATCTCCCTCATCAACTAGGAAATGTTATAGTAATACCCAAATATACTTTCATCTATGTTTTGTAATAGACCCCACTCATAGAAATGGTAGGGATAATATCTTTTCCTTTTTAGCATTACAGGAGAAATTGTGACTTTGAAATGAACCAAGAAGGTTACAGTTGTCTTCAAAGGAAAAAGAGTCAGTCTAGCATGCCATTCCAGATGTGACTCTATGGTGTATCCTGTGCCTTTCTTGACTTTAAGCTATTTTACAACTCTGTAAGTTGTGCATAACTGATAGCAATGCAAATAATAGTAACATTTGTCTATAAACATGCAAATAAATTTTATCCTGTGAAAGTAAAGTTGACCCATCTTGCCTCAATTTCCTTTGGAAAAAGCCAGTTTTGCATATCTTAGGGAAGTTCATTCGCACATCCTTGGCTGTATATTTGTCTGCTCTTTAGATTGTCTCTTGAAGTGGTGATAACATTTTACTAGTTCTCTTGTTAAGTACTGAGTTCAAATCTTTACAAGTGTTCTTTTTATATTCGTATGAAAGTTATGATTTTAAAAAAATTATCCCTTAGCATTTCAAATCATAAACCGTGATAGGATCCTCATAAATGAAAGTGCAGAGAAATAAAATCAGAGTGAATTTTAGAATTGTCTTCTGTGTGGCCAGCACTATGACAGGGGCTAAGAATGAATGAAGCTCAAGACCCAGCCTTTGACCCTGAAGAGCTCAGAATCTGCTTAGAGAGACACGACCTTCAAGCATGATAAATGTATGCGACTCTTTCACAATTAGTGCTCCTCGGGGTTCTGCTAACCTTTCTCTTCCATGCTACCCTCTCCCACAGTCATCTCAGCTGTGCCCTTAGGGTTTCAGCTCTGGTCCACATACTCACAATTCTCCCGTCACATCTTCACCATGTGCTTCTTTCCCCCCTCCACTAGACCCATGTATAATACTACTTCACTTTGATGTCCCACTGATGCCTCAAACTCAGCATGTTCGAAATTGATTCATTATCTTTCCTGAAAGGCTTTCTTATCCTCCTTCATTTTGTTTCTTGATAAATGGCTCCACCAAATGCCAGCTGCATAAGCCAAACACCTAGAAATCAATCACAGAACTGAGCCAACCAGTTGCACTTTAAAATACTCAACCACAAACCTCAAATGGGTGCAGAGGCAGAAAAGGGGTGATCCCCTTCCTCCCCATCATAAAGGGTCAAGGCTGACACTCCTATAACAAAAGACAGGTTAACAGAGAAAAGCATCAGAAATTTACTAAGTGCACACATGTGCACTGGAATCATACAAAACATGAAAACTCCAAAACAGCCAGCTGGTTGATGCTTAAGTATGCTCTTTATTGGGAAGTGGGGAGATGGGGGTGTAGGACTGAAATAATTTACAGGGGAAATGAATGGACCCAGGAGACAGAAAGTAACCTGAAAATGATTCTCTTTGGAATTTAGATGAGCCCTAGAGGCAGACAGTGTCTTGTGGAAAAGTCCATCCAGGTGTGGTTGTACTCCTCAGTCTTCCTTCCTGTGATACAGAATGAGATTTCAGGGAATGGGTGGAGGGCAATTGTGTTCCTCTTTGGGGGTCTGGTTTCCAGGTATATTAGGGAACCTCAGAGAAGAACTTCATCCTGTGCTTTAGGAGAGACAAAGAACTGGAGCCAGAGAAGAGGAGGGGGTGGTAGAGACCTTGAGGCTGCTTCTCCAGTTCAACGTGTCAAAGTGCCATATGTCAGGGCACCAGTTTCTGAGCCCCAGCAGGATACTCAGCAGTGACTGCGAACTCCCTTGTATCTCCAGCAGGCTTGCTTTCTCTCTAATGAAAATGACTAGTTCATGCCTTCAAGACTTGCCGCAACTTTCTCCCCTACTTCTTCCCCACAACGCCCCCTCTGTCTTAGCTCATGCCCTTCTGTCACCTTTTGTTGGGGAAACAGAAGCAAATTGCACAACAATTCTCACATGTTCTTACCATCAGATCACATCTATACTATATCTGTGTCCAGGTATTTTCATTTTTTATCATTTATTCCACACGCATTTATTAAACACCTACTCTATGGTAGGCAATACACTGAGCACTGGTAATTCAGTAATGAACAATACAGAAAAGTCCCTCTCATCATGGAATTTCCATTGTAATGGAACAGATGCACGATAAACTAATAAAAACTAAAAGTTCACTAAAGATAAAGCCGAGTTAGTGAGAAGAGCGGTGAGAGACTGTCATAGGGGAGCAAGTATCCCCACTGTCACACAGTCAGTTCCCTCCTCGGGTGCTTGGGACTCATTCTCTCCAGCCCTTTCCAGGACTCCACTCTGGGAGGTAACTCAATGCCTCCTTTCTTTTCTTTTTGCTTTTTCTTTTCTTTTTTTTTTTTTTTCTTTCTTTTTTTTTTTTTTTTTTTTTTGAGACAGAGTCTCACTCTGTAGCCCAGGCTGGAGTGCAGTGGCAGGATCTCTGCTCACTGCAGCCTCCACCTCCCGGGTACCCATTCAAGCAATTCTCCTCCCTCAGCCTCCCGAGTAGCTGAGATTACAGGCATGCGCCACCATGCCCAACTAATTTTTGTATTTTTAGTAGAGATGGGTTTCACCATATTGACCAGGCTGGTTTTCAACTCCTGGCCTCAAGTGATCCACCCTTGTCAGCCTCCCAAAGTGCTGGGATTACAGGCGTGAGCCACTGCGCCTGGCCTCAATGCCTACTTTCTCATGGACCACTCCTGTCAGCAACCTCTGAGTTTCCTGCCCTGCCGTCATTCACAGTATAGCTTGTAAAATACTTCTTTATACCCTGGTTGCCCAACTTGGTTACCATTCCCCTGGGGATACCTGAAAACTCTCTATACAATCTTGTGCACAGATCATTATAAGAGAGTCCCTTTCCAGGTCTTCTCCTTCCATATACACTCTGTAGTAGAACTGATATGCCCAAGAATGCATCAGATATCATTAGTGATAAATCTAACTTCCTTTTATTTATGATTCATGGATCAGGGCAGCCACCATCCTACAAAATAGAACAAGAAGGCCAGATGCGGTGGCTCACGCCTATAATCCCAGCACTTTGGGAGGCCAAGGTGGGCGGATCACCTGAGGTCAGGAGTTCATGACCAGCCTGGCCAACATGGTGAAACCCCGTCTCTACTAAAAATACAAAAATTAGCCAGGTGTGGTGGCGGGCACCTGTAATCCCAGCTACTCGGGAGGCTGAGGCAGGAGAACCACTTGAACCTGGGAGGCGGAGGTTGCAGTGAGCAGAGATTGTGCCACTGCGCTCCAGCCTGGGCGACAGAGTGAGACTCAGTCTCAAAAAAAAAAAAAAAAAAAAAAATAGAACAAGAGGTCCCACTGGGAAATTGCAGAACGGGGGTGGTTTGTAAGGTGAGAACAAGGAAACGGAACAATAGTAAAAAAGAAGCTGATTGGTTAACATCAGGTTACTTCAGGAGGTGACTTGTAGGGGTTAAAGCAGGGGAAACGTCCGTATGATGCTGACACAAGTGGACTGGAATCTCCTGTTTTCAGGAAAAAACTGGTCTGTTTGGAGATCTATCTCCTTCCTTAAAGTTTCAGTTTGATTAAATGGCAGTCAGTACGAGTGACTCCATTTTAGTTTAGTCTGGTCCATTGAGGCCTAGCGCAGGACCTCAGCCCCAAAAAACTGGTCTCCCTTAATTTTTTAACAGAAACATCAACACTTAGGACTTCCTTTCTTTCTTGTTAAGAGCAAAGGGTATCATTAGAAACAGAGTCTTTGGGTTACTGTTAGCATGCTCTGAAATCAGAAAAGCAGAATCCCTTTGGGTTAGTGACATTGATTCTTTTAAATTAAACTAAATTGGTTTGAGGGACTACCAAAAGTGTCCAGATACAATGGGGGTAGAAACACAAATCAGCATTTTAACAGGGGTTTTTCAGATTCAGTATGGTTAAGTAAAGAGAATAACTGAAAGCTAGCATTTAAAAAACAGTAAATTGTATCAGGCAAGTTTTATTCCAATCAAGTCAATCTTTTCCTATGTTATATTTTTAAAATACTAAATATTTTCAGCCTATAAATAATTTTAAAAAATATAGACTTATGATGAACTATTTCAGGTGTCAACTTAAAAATGTTCAAGATGGTATATAAATTCTATCAGGAGGTGTGTGAGCAAAGACGTCTACTCCTAGCAACCTGTGCTCGGGGTCTCCCGGTTCTCACTTCCTGTTCTTTTCTTAGTTTATCATAGTCACGTAGGTGTTCTCCCTGCTATTCTGGACCTATATCCTAAATCTCCCTTAAGGATTACCCTTTCCTATCTGACCTCCACATTTCAGATTCCCCAGAGCTTGATTCTGAGTCTCCTTCTATAGCAACGTGCTTTCTAGACCAGGATTTGTCAACCTTGGCACAACTGACATTTTGGGCTATATTATTCTTTGTTGTGTATTGTAGGATATTTGGCAGTATCCCTGGCCTCTACACACTAGTTGCCAGTAGCACTCCCTGCCTGAATTGTGACAATAAAAAATGCCTCCAGACATTGCCCAGTGTGCCCTGGAAGCAAGATCGCCACCTCCTATGTACCCTCATCTCTCAGTTTCAGAACCACTGTTCTCAATGATTCTAGACAGTATCATTGGTTTAAGTACTTTCTGTAAATGGAACGCTCTGAAGTTCTAATCCTGACCTGTTTATTGAGCTCAGACTCATATCCAACTGCCTATGGAATTTCTCTGTGGGGATATGTTAAGAGACACCAGGTTTTTAACATAACTTTAACTGGTTCCCTCCTCTACCTGTTCCTCTCCTGGTTTTCTCCCATTTTAGTAAAAGGCATTGCCTCCTACCCAGTGGCTAGGGCTTCCACCTTTGGGATGACTTCTCCCTTCCCCTATTCCCGTCTGTCAGCAAGTCCTATTGATGTTACCTCCAAAACAGAATGCAGACTTGATTGCTGTTCCCATATGAATCCAAATCCTGACGTGTGTGTGTGTGTGTCTGTGTGTGTGTGTTTTAACCTCAGTTACTGCCATCAGGCTTTCAGTCCCGCTACTCTAGGGAGACAGCTGTTTTTCAAGGTCATTTCAAGGTCACTCATAATCACCACTTTGCCAAATCCCATAAGTCATTCTCAGACCTCAGATTACTCAACCTGTCAGTCCCAATTGACACAGTAGTCCCTCTGTTTTTCTCAAAATGTTTCATTTTATTCACTTAGCTTCTGACTCTGCCTTTGTTTTCTGCCAGTCTTTGTTGGCTTGTCCTGACCTCAACTTTTCAGCACCAATGTGCTCCTGAACTCAGACCTGTTTTTGCTTAACTCAGAATCTCCCTCAAGGCAAAAATGAAGGCATGACTGGGCTATGTTCTCATCTGCAGGTTCAGCTGGGGAAGAATCTATTTCCAAACTCATTTAGATTTTTGGCAGAATTCATTTTCTTGCACCCATATGTCTGAGGGCCCCAGCCTCTTTTTGGCTATCTGTTGGAGTCTGCCCTCTGCTCCTAGAGGTCTCCTGCAGTTCCCTGCCATGAGACCTCTCCACAGTGGTTGTCAAGAAGCCCTTTGCTTCTTCAAAGTCAGCAGGAAAGCCTCTGATTCCAGTCAGCAAAAAAACAGACTTATGTAACATGGTGTACTTGTAGGAGGGACAACCCCTTACCTCACCATATTCTACTAGTTAGAAGCAAGTCTACGTCCTGTCTACTTTCAAAGGACATAACATAGGTCAGATATCAGATGGCCATCTTAAAATGCTGCCTAACACACCTTCCCTATCTCTACTCCCTGCACAGACAAGCTCTCCCAGCCTCAAGGCTTTAAGTAACACCTCTGTTCTAATGACTGTCACATTTCTGTCTCTAGCCTGGACCTCATTCCTGAACTCCTGACTTGTATATCCAACTGCCTACTTGTCACCTCCATGTGGATTTAACAGGCATCTCAAATTCAACACATCCAAAACCAGACTCCTGATTTCCTCTAACTTGCTCCTCCTGTAGTCTTTCCCATCTTGGTAAGCAGCAGCTTTATTGTTCCAGTGCCTCAGGCCAAAAATCTTAAAATCTTCCTAATCCTTATCTTGTTCACAGGATCCACGCATAATGCATCAACAAATTCTGTGTGTTTTGCCTTCAAAACACATACAGAATCTCACCACTTCTCCCCACCTGCCCATCTACTGCTCTAGTGCATGCCACTGTCATCGGTCATCTAGATCAGTGGTTCTCACCTGGGGAAGGTTTTGTCCACTCTTCTCCCCATGGGTTTTGGCAATGTCTGGAGACATCTTTGGTGGCACTACTGAGGGAAGGGTCACTACTGGCATCTAGTGGTTAAAGGCCAGGAGTGCTGCCAAACATCATACAACACACAGGGCAGCCTCTACAACAAAGAATTATCTGGCCTTAAATGTCAATGGTGCAGAGGCTGTGAAACCTGATCTAGATGAACGCAAGTAGCCTCTGAACTGTCTCCTTGCCTCTACCCTTGCTCATCCTCCTGCGAGTCTATACTCCACAAAGCAGCCTGAGGGATTCTTTTCAAATCTAAGCCAAGGCAGGCCTCTTCTCTGTTTGAAACCATACAATGGCTTCTCATTGGTCACAGAGGTAAGGGTCAATCCTAACAAAGGCCTTTGAGGACTTACGTGATCAGGACCCCACTACCTCTCTTCCCTGTCTCCTACCATTTCCCCTCTTGCTCCATTCCTATTGATCCCCATGCCTTTCTTCAAACACAATAGGCACGCTCCCATGTTCAGTTTGCTGTTTACTTTGTTTGGAATGCTTTTCTGCAGATATTACTGCTGCTCACACTTTTATTTTCTCCAGGTCTTTGCTCAAATAAGATAAACTTCCCTGACACAGCCTAATAAAATAGCAACCTGCTCCTGTAAACCTCCACCTGCCATGCCCCATACCCTGCTTTACCTTTTTTCCTAAAACTTATCAACTCCTAAGATAGATAGACTGATAGACAGAGAGATGAACAGATATATAGATGAATAGATAGATAGATGATAGATGGGTAGACGGATGGATACACAGATGATAGAGATAGATAGGTAGATGAATAGGTGCATAGATGGGTAGATGGTAGAGATAGATAAATAGATGATAGAGATAGGTAAGTAGGCAGATAGAAGACACATTAGATAGATATAAATGGATAGATGAAAGAGATGGATAGATATAGGTAGATGGTTGGATAGACAGATGATAGAGATGATAGGTAGATAGATAGATAGATAGATAGATAGATAGATAGATAGATACATAGATAGATAGATAATTTGTCTGCTTATAGTCTGACTGCCCCACTAAAATGGAAGCTCCATGGAGCCAAAAACTGTATCCTTCTTATTAACTATTCCATCTCTGGGGTCTAGTATGGTACCTGGCACATAGTAGGTGTTCCATAAATATTGAAGAATGACTAGTTTCCTTGTTTGTACTTTTGCCTTCATTCTAGCCATTCTCCACACAGCAGTCAAAGGATATTCTTAAAATGCGAGAGGAATGCTATCACTCCCCTTCACCCACCCTTCCAAACCCTTGAATTGCTTTTTATTGCTACTGGGTTTTTTTTTTGAGATGAAGTCTCGCTCTGTCACGCAGGCTGAAGTGCAGTGGCGCAATTTCGGCTCACTGTAACCTCCACCTCCCGGGTTCAGGTGATTCCCCTGCCTCAGCCCCCCGAGTAGCTGGGATTACAAGTGCACACCACCACACCCGGCTAATTTTTGTATTTTTAGTAGAGACAGGATTTCACCATGTTGGCCAGGCTGGTTTCGAACTCCTGACCTCAAGTGATCCTCCTGCTTTGGCCTCCCAAAATGCTCGGATTAGAGGTGTGAGCCACTGTGCCCTGCTTACTGCTCTTAAACTCCATTTGATTATTTACAAACCAAGCCAGATTAAGATTTTTGTCTTTAATCACTGAAAAGATTATGGTATCATCACCACTAGAGACAATTTTCTAAAGATGATAATGTTAAATCCTAAAATAAGTGTATTAGAAGCCTAACGATTTCAGATTTTACCAAAATCTCATTAATCATCCCGCCTCTGTATCTATCTAATCTTTTCCAACTGCCCAGTTTTCCCTTCTGTTTTGGGCCTTCACCATATTCTGCCAGAATTACTACAAAAGCTTTCCAATTTGTCTCTTCCCACCTCCAGCCAGATGTCTCCTTCCCTTCTCTCTCCACACCAATTCATTCTCCATATTAGCTCCAAAATGATCATTCTAAAATATATATCCCATTACATCCTTCTCCTACTTAAAATTCCTCAGGATCTCTAAATTTCCTTAGTGAAGGATTTTTTTAAGACCCATTAGTTGCAAATGGCAGCAATTCAAAGCAAACTGGATTGAACAAAAGGGAAAAAAATACAAAGCAAAACTTTAAAAAAGGGATTCTCATGTTCACATAGAAAAGGATTCTGTGGTAGTTCATAGTATTCAAAGAAAAGCAGAAACACTAGAATTTCAGGATCAAGAAATCGGGAGTTAAAATCAGTGGAATATTTTTTTTCTCACTGTCAGTGTCTCATGTCTACTTGTCTCCATTGGAGTGCTTTCTTCTTTAGTCAGCGTCTTTCCAAGTGTCAGGGAAGACCACCACTGCCAGCTCTGGAATCACATCCACCAAAGCCAGTCACTTCTGTAGAAAAACAGCATCTTTCCCACCATTTCTATATCAATCCCAGGGAACATTCTGATTCGTCAAATTTGGTCAGGTGGACCAATCAGATGTCCCCAACCAGACAGCATAAAGTGTGGGAGAAATATCCCACAGATATTAGCAGGCTGTCTGCAGGAGAAGGAAGATGAGAAAGCATAGTGGTCAGGCACAACTCAGTAGCTGATGTTTTCTGCAGATTATTAAACATGGCACATAAAGACCTTCCAGATCTGGTGCCTGCCAACCTCTTCAACTCCACCTTAACCCACATCTTCCTCACTTTCTGTGCTCCAGCCACAGTCAGCTACTTGAATTCTTGGGTGGCTTCTGCCTTCTTTTATCTCCAGCACATACTGTTCTCTGTACCTAAAACACCATTTGCTGCCTCATTATACAAAGATGATACTTCCACATTCTTCAGACCTTATCTCATACATTACCTCCTTCAGGAAGTCTTTGTTTTAACATGTGGATTTTATTATTATTCAAGTATAATGAGGCCAGCAGATCAGGAGATAATTATCCTTGAAAAGATCATTTATTACAGTTCCCAAGAGGAGGGGGCATACCATATCACAAAGGGCCACATGGGGAAGCACCAGGGTTGGTCAGGAGATCCAGGGAGAGAGCTTTTGTGGTGGTTTTGTGGGAAGGAATGGGTGAGACAGGGAAGCAGCTCTAGGATGGTCTAGTCTGAATAATTTCAACAGGCTCTGGGGCACAGAGGTCATCTGTAATTGTCTTGCACCTGGCCATGAGGTGATTAGGATAGGAGAATAGTGGCCCTACATATGGGAGCCCAATAAGAAAGGGGGTTGTGGGGTGTGGGCTCTGGATTGGTTGGTTTTCATATGAAAGGCACACTCTGTGGCAAGTCATTTAATATCTCTAGGAATTAAACAGTCCTGGAGGGGCAGTCCCTCCAGGGTCAGCAAGGCCGCAGATATAAAAGCAACAGAATACAGAAAATAAGTGGCAGGGTTAATACAATCTTTCCTAGCATTTTTTCAGCATCTTCTCCTAAATCAGGTTTAGGCATCTCTTTTTTATGATTCCAGAATACCCCTTGCACACTGCTGTGGTTACAATGGCAGCAGTACCGGCAAGGATATCTTAACCAACAGCCCAGCAATCTTTGACCTTCAAACTACATCTGGGGAAGTGGGTAAGAATTTGAAATCATTTTGCTGGGAGTGGGGGCTCACTCACCCACGTAACCTCAACACTTTGGGAGGCTGAGGCAGGAGGATTGCTTCAGCTCATGAGTTTGAGACCAGCTTGGGCAACATACAGAGACTTGTCTCTACAAAAAATTTTAAAAACTTAGGCAGGCATGGTGGCATGTGCCCGTAGTCCCAGCTACTCGGGAGGCTGAGATGGGAGGATTGCTTGAGCCCAGGAGGTTGAGATTACAGTGAGCCATAATCACAACCCTGCACCCTGCACTCCAGCCTGTGCGACAGACCCTGTCTCTAGTAAAAACAACACAATTAAACAAAATATTTAAGCCATTTAATTTCGATTTAATGGATATGTGACCTCATTTTTATTCCATAGTTTTTGAGACTGCACATGTAGTTTTCATTTAAATGCCTATAAAATATTTATTCATTTTCTTTCTGCTAAAATGATGCAAACAATACTCTTAGGTGTATTATACACTGAATTTTGACACTTTAAAGAATACCACTACATTAACTTATGCAGCCATGATTAATTTATCTTTGTGCAGACTATTGAATAAAATTGTTCTCGTCATTATTGTGCATATAGTTGATCTTCCAAATATGTAATTGGAACTTGAAAAATTGAAACTCTCAACTGCTCTTTTAAGAAATTCATGCCTGTGTATATTCAAGCATATAAAACTGAAATGCGTGAATACACAACTATACCTCTCACTGCTGACTATATAGTGCCTTATTGTCTTTATAAGTCACCTGCATGTGAATTAGGAAAAGAAACTCCTTCTTCTGGGCAGATGCAGCTCTGTGTTGGGTGCATGACTTGGGGGCAGAGCGTGGCATGGCTTTTGGCTCCCCTTGCTGCCTGGTCAAAAATGCCTTGGTCTGTACTAACCTACAAGACCTTAGACAAAGGTGTTAAATGCACACTAGCTTTGCTCAAATGGGCAAGTCTCAACTTGTCTTCCTCCCTGAGATCCTCATGCTCTCCATAGGACAGGATAGCCAGCCATGTAACAGCACATGATGGTGTAAAATTATACATCGTGGTGTAAATTTGTGTACTCCTTATAAAATGTTTATGTTTGCATTTAGGAGTGTAAGCATGTATTAGACATTCTTAGTGATTCAACTTTGAAGCAAAGATTTTCTGTCACCTTTTCTTCAATTTAGATTAAAGAATGAATACCTTGAGATTTCAAGGCAAAATATTATGAGTCAGTTTTTATTTGTAATTATTTACCTTTGTAATCAAAATTTTCTCAAGGAACAAAATATAAATGAATACAACATAAAACATAGATATAATTTGGATGCTGACTCTCTAATTGTCAAATACAACTCCTCATTCCAAGTTTTTTTGTATCACCTTGTGATTCCTATTCATTGATTAAAAATTAAGTAAATATTATAAATTTTCAGTTACAAATTTATACTAATGAAATATACTTTAATCAATTTTACATGTGATGGATCTTGGATTTTTTTCCCATTTTTAAAAATAGAATTTATTTTTTAGAGCAGTTTTAGGTTCACAGTGAAATTGAGTGGAAGAAACAGAGACTTCCTACATACCCTTCCCCACTCCCCCACCATGCACAACCTCCCCAACGGTCAACATCTCCAACCTGAGGGTACATTTGTTACAATTCATGAATCTCCATTGGCACTTGAGGGAAAGCAGGTATAAATGAAAGACTTTGGCTGGGCGCAGTGGTTCACACCTGTAATCCCAGCACTTTGGGAGACCGAGGCAGGCGGATGACCTGAGGTCAGGAGTTCGCAACCAGCCTGGACAACATGGTGGAACCCTGTCTCTACTAAAATACAAAAAAGTAGCCAGGCTTGGTGGTGTGTGCCTGTAGTTCCAGCTACTTGGGAGGCTGAGGCAGCAGAATTGCTTGAACCTGAGAGGCAGAGGTTGCAGTGAGCCGAGATACCGCCACTGCACTCCAAGCTGGGTGACAGAGTAAGACTCCGTCTTGGGAAAAAGAAAAAAAAAAAAAAGACTTTCGGGATAGTTTCAAGTATTCTAGAAGGAATTCACTCACTCAAAGACTCTGGTTTCCAGAGTTCTTGCTGTGCCTCCCAGGTTTTAAAAGGTCAGGCTGCGCATGGTGGCTCACGTCTCAGCACTTTGGGAGGCCGAGGTGGGTGGATTGCTCGAGCCCAGGAGTTCAAGACCAGCCTGGGAAACATGGTGAAACCCCATCTCTACGAAAAAAAAAAAATAATAATAATAATAATAATAGAAAAATTAGCAGGGCTATTTTTTTTTTTTTGAGTGGCTGTAGTTCCAGCTACTCAAGGTTTGGGGTGAGAGAATCACTTGAGCCCAGGAGGTAGAGGTAGCAGTGAGCTGAGATTGCAGGACTGCACTCCAGCCTGGGTAACAGAGCGAGACATTGTCTCAAAAATAAATAAATAAATAAATAAATAAATAAATAAATAAATAAAAATAAAAAGGTCAACAACAGCAGCACATGAAATGGCTCACGCTTCATCTGTGACACAGGATGCAGAGTCAAAGATGTAAACATTGCCCAAATGGCAGAGAGCCAAAAGAGGGAGTTAGTAAGTTTCCCATATTTGAAGTCTGCCATTTGTGGGGTACTGGCAAGTTTTGGTTTCTGAAGATGGAAACATCAATTTACATTTTAATTTCTTAAAAAGAAACTAAAAAGTTAAGCAAGAGTCCACCCATTATTTGGTAGTGAGACTATAACACATTTCCGTTTAACTTGAGCTCCCCCTCCTCCTTTTTCCACCAATGGGCCCAGGTCCACTCTGTGATCAGGTTAGGTTTGCTGGGAGTGAGTGAAACCATCTGCAGAACCAGAAGTGGGACCCCCAAAGGGAAGAGAGCAGAAACCCCTCTTGTTCTCTTTAAGATTGACTGTGGGTAATGAAGATTATCTTTTATAAAAATGAAGTCAATACATTTTCAATTTGGCATGAAATTACATTCCATGTGGGCTTCCATTCCTACTGTCAAATCATCAGTCTCAGGAAAGACAGCAGGTACCACCGAAATCAAAATAGTCATCGATCGTCTTTGAGTCTCACAGTTGGGTTTTTTTAAATCTACAGCTAGACGAAGTTTCTTTCGTTTAACCTTTTAAGAGCCAGGCCTGATAGACTCTAGAATAAAGTTTCTTTCACATACAGAGAATCCTCTTGCCACCTCTCAAGTTGAGCCAAGAAGCTTCGTGTCTTTGAGTACAGGAGGCTTTGGGAGGTGGGGGTGAAGAGCTGGCTGGCTGAACTTGCGGCAGAGCTCCTGGCTCCCCACTGGCTGCCTGTGGTGTGCAGAGGACATAGGAGGCCCCCACTCCTCGTGGAGAGTGAAAGTGAGAGTAAGAGGAATGGGAATGTGATAAGGCCACAGCACACTGGGACTTTACAACGGGATCCAGACTTCAGCAGCGGAGCACACTAGATGTGTCCATGACAACCCACAAGCCAACAAAGACCTACAGTGCCAGAGGATGCAGCACAGACCCAGGGCGCTTCTGCCTCTCTGCCCTGGGGTCTTCACCCAGCCCACGCCACTGTGGGGCAGAGATGGGGAGGACAAATGGGAAAAGGGTGCCTTTACCTGGAAGAACTGGGTCACACAAATGACAGGGCTTAACTTGGCCTTGAGAGGGAGCCGCATTTCAGTTGTCTGCAAGACTCTCTTTAAACTAGAGGAGAATGAGATCTTTAAACTCTCCCACCCCTTGCTTTCCCTACAAGGTGGGGGTCTATGAGGAAGAACAGACAAGAAAAATGGAGAAGCCACACTTCCTTTTCCCATATGATGGCAGTATATTGTCTCCCCCCCTAAAAGTAGGGAAAAATATCAGAATGTGAAGGAGTGACTGTGATAATTAAGGCCCCAACCACAGAAGAGCGTTGAGGCTCTGAGACAGAATCCACCATGGGGACCCAGGGAGACTCGCACAAGGCGAGGTTGGTTCTGAGCTGGAGGCAGCTGACATAGAAGAGCTCTGTCAGCCATTCTATAATAACGCAGGCTCATGTCCCAGGGAAGGGCTGTGTGTGCATGAATTGAAAGGTTCTTGTCAGAAAGAGCAGAAACTTCCGCCCCAAAGCCAGACTCAGGAGTGGGCTGCCCAGGTGGTCGACAAAGGAGGCACTAAAACAACCCTGGAAATGTCATGAGATGAGATCAGCCTGTGCAGCTGGAAGGGCTACTCTCACGAGCAGCTTTGGGGCTTGCCAGGGACTTGCTTAAGTGACAACTGAAGGCCACTAAATTCCCTTCAAAAGAAGAGAGGGTACACCAGTGTTCGAAGCAGCACTATTCACAGTCGCCAGGTGGAAGCAACCCAAATATCCATTGATGTGACCTGGCTACGTTACCTGGGGTATATACCCTGGGGTTCCTCGTCTCGCGCCAGGAAAATGTGGGACACAGACACATGGGAGGAGTTTAGGAGCAGAGGTTTAATAGAAGAGAAAGAGAAAACAGCTCTCTCTATAGAGAGAAAGGGGTCTCCCAGCGGAAAAGACGGCTGGTGGCAAATGAACGGGATTTTATAGTCCAGCTTGAGGAGGTGGTGTCTTATTTACCTAGGGCTCACAGACTGGTTCAATCAGGTGTGACGTCACATCGTGCGTCATATCACACGTCATAGCGCGAGGAAGGCTGGTCACCCCACCCTAATCTTATTACACAAATGAATTCTCCGTGGCTGGTGCCATCTTGTGTGCTCTTACTATACACGTGGCTGGCAGAGAATGGATGATGGAGCCGCCATCTTGAGCATGTCTAGTCCCTAGTTCCTGCCAGCATTCACC
This sequence comes from Homo sapiens, assembly GCF_000001405.40. Lineage (NCBI taxonomy): Eukaryota > Metazoa > Chordata > Mammalia > Primates > Hominidae > Homo > Homo sapiens. The sequence continues at coordinate 230,624,117 of NC_000001.11, read as the reverse complement.
CGTGCAAGCCCCCAACTTGCTTGCCTGTGTCTGCAGCTCGACTTTAAAGGCTGCTCTTTGTTAGAAAATGATTTGGGCTGTTTTTCATTAAAAAGAAAAGCCTTACCGAGGACTTCCATACCCTTACTACCTGCCTAAGTGATTTCCTCTTAACTCCTGTATCAGATGGATGAATGGATAAAACAAAATGTAGTCCATCCATGCAATGGCATATTGATTATCCAGCCTTAAAATGGAAGGAAATTCCGACACATGCTACAACATAGATTAACCTTGAGGAAGTTATATTAAGTGAAATAAGCCAGTCACAAAAAGACAAAGACTGTGTGATTCCACTTATATGAGGTACCCAGAGGAGTCAAATGCATAGAGACAGAAAGTAGAATGATGGTTGTCAGGGGTCAGGGGAGCCTTATTGCAGGTGAGGACTCTCTGTGGTATCCTCAGGTGGCACAGGGCATTGTATGATAGCTTTAATTCATTAATCTGTGAATGGATTAATCCGGGGCAGAGGCCTCATGATCCGATCATTCCTTAAAGGCCTCACCTCAATACTCCACATTGAAGATAACTTTCAACATGAGTTTTGGAAAGGACATTCAAACCATAGCAAGTGGCCAATTTTATATTACGTATATTTTCCACAATTTTCTAAAAAATGGAAAAAAAGAAGAAGGTGGGTTCCATTAAGCCCTGGGTGTGTTTTCCTGTATGAGGTGTGCTGCTGGGATTTTTCAGCACCTCTACTATGCTGACCAAATTGTAGCCCAGTTAGCCTGCCTGAGGTGCCTAGGGGCATTGTCCAGCCTTGGGCAAGGGTACCTGTGGGGAGAGGCATGACTGCACTGCCAACTGGGCCCTTGTTGGGTGGCACTATGGGCCTGCCCATCTCAAGGCCAGTTAGATCTCCCAGGCACTCTCGGCTGGAGGTCTAGAGACTCCCCCAGAAGGCCATGTGGCCACAGCAAGAGAAGCCACCCTTGCCTGCATTCTCACTACCTCCCAGCTAGAAGGGGCAGGTTGATGGCAGGAGCAGATGTCAGGAACCAGCACAGGCCGCGCAGGGGCATCTCAGGACTATCTAGATGGGATAATGGAGCAAGAAAAGACCGAGTCTCCTGAAAATTGGATAGGGAATCAGAGTCCTCTTGATTTGAACAGTTTTATCCAGTTTTGCACCGCAATATGGTAATGTGAAATATATTGTTTGCAAAGGGTAATTAGGGGCATCTAGAAATCTTAAATCCAAGAGAAAGAATTGAGAGCTAGAGGGGCTAATCAACTATTGAAGATAAGAGAGTAGGTGGCAGGCATAGGCTGGCTCAGAAGAATTTTTCTGAAAGATCTCCTTATTAACAGCAGCCAGTCTTCACTGGCTCAAGCATGTATGTGACATTTCTTGTCTCAGAGTGGGTTAAAAGTACCGCTCAGCCCCTGACAGAAGTTGCAGAATTCCATTTCTACGTCACACAGGGAACTGGACAAAATGGATTCTAGGGTTAAGGTTCTCTAAATCCAAGTTAATAATGGTACTTCTTTATTATTTCTATTTTATTTTGATACCTGTGGCATTCCTTGAAGGCGCTATATTACTGTTGGGAGAAAAACTTTTCCTCTATTAACTTAGGTCCAGATACCAGGGGTCTGCAAATTAACTGACAATCGATATATTAACAAAAGAAAAGATGAAGTTGATTCCCTTGTCTGTGGGAGTACTCAGTACTGATGAACTCACTGAACAGCTGGGAGTACGGGCTTACATACCAGCTTAACCAGGGAAGGGAAACGGTGAGGGTTAGGGTGGGGGAAAGATAGAAGATTTGTTCTAGGAGAACAAATGGAAGGTAGACAGTTTTTGATAAGGTTTGTTTATGCACTTTCTCTAATGGTTAGTCTCCTTCCTGGCTGGAAGCTTCCCAGGACAGGGGATTTATTCAGAAGTCTCTGCCTTTAGTCAGATAAGGGAACCTCCAGAAAGGCTTCTTTCTGCCTCTGCTATATTTCAAATGTCTTCAGTTTAAAGTAATCTTTATGCCATCTTGGTGGATCCAAGTGGGTCCCTTCATTACTATCACTTCTTTTATGTTCAAACACTGTTGTAAGAATCACGTCTTGATAACCGCACAAAAATTTGAATAGGTAGAGCTGGAGTAATAATCATAATGATAGCTAACATTTGCAGCAAGCTTACTGTATGTCAGGCATCATGCTTAGCATTCTGCATGGATTATCTAATATAATCCTCGAAATGACAGTAGGAAGTGGGTGCTGTCATTTATGCAGGAGGAAACTCAGGCTTGGGGAAGTTAACATGTGGCCATGTGATCGAGTGGAAATGAAACACAGGCTCCTCTGACTGTAGAACGCAACTTCTTATAGTAATTGTTTATTGCTGCATAATCAATACCCCCAAATTCAGTAGCCTAAAACAATACTCATTATTATTTCTCACCATGTCTGGGATTTTTCATGAGGCTCAGTTGGATGTTGGCTCAGCTGGCAGCCATCTGAAGGCTTGTTTGGAGTGACGGGATCCACTTCCAGGGTAGTTTATTCCCGTGACTGTCACACTGGTGCCAGCTGTTGTGGAGGCCTCAGTTGCACTCTGTGGGGGTCTTGCTGCAGAGTGATCTAACCATGCAGCAGCTGGCTTCCCCAGAAGCCAAGGCAGCAGCTGCAATGCATTTTATTACTTATTCTTAGAAGCCACACACCACCACTTCTGCAGTATCCTATTGGTCACACAGGTTGGTTCTATTCACTGTGAAAAGGGACCACATAGGGGCATGGATTCCAGGAGTGAGGATCTCTGGGGGCCAGCTCAGGGCCAGCTACCACATTTCTACTACACTTTTCCTTCTTTACTGTCAACCTAGGCAAAAGCGCTGTGAAATGAAATTTATGGGAGGCCACAGTTTTTGACTGAACTCATGCACTAATCCCCAGCAGACCAGACCAGACCAAACCAGAATGGAGTCACTCATGCTGAGTGCCATGTAATGAAGCTGAACTTATATATGGGACATTTTCCTAAACAACAAGATTCACAGCAATCAATCCAAAGGGTCCTGGTCAGCCTGAGGCAGCATGATAATGAATTCCCATCTGCCTTAACCCTACAAGGAAAATAATTTTAAAATGAACAATCTGTTTTTTGTTCCTTGTTTTTGCTTTCTTCCGTCATTTGCTCTCCATAAAGCCAACTTCCTCTGCTCAGCTCATTAGAGCACCTTTCTATTTCATAAATGGGATGCTGCCCAATTCATGAATTGCTAATAAAAGCCAGTTAGATAATTAAACTCAATTTGTTGAAATTTTATTGCTTGACAGTGCTTAGACAGGCACCTGGCACTTGGAAGTCTTTCAATAAATCCTAACTTGTTTACATGAAAGAAAAATAAAAAATTCAGGACCCCAAACTATGCCAAAGGGAAAAGTTTAGCTTTGGAACTGAGTCACGCAAAAACTGCCTTCATTTTGTTCCTAAGTAGGTAGCTGCAAATATAGAAGGCCACATATCTCCCCAGGTGGCCTCCCTCACAATTTGCTCATGAGGAAATTCTTTGGGGGCCCTAAGATCTTTATTCTGAAACAGAGTTCTTGTGAATTTCACCCTGACAATGTAAATTAAGAGCTTATCTCCACAGGTGCAGGACAGGCAGGACTAGGAATCCCTCCTCCACTCACCTGAGACAAATGCATGTCTCATGACTGCTTCCCCTGCTCTCTGTTTACTTTATTTTATATAAAAATGCAAACTCACTGAACATGAGACAAGTGCATAGTTGACTGTGTTCCTCTACCCACTCCTTTAACATATAAAATGTGGATTTGGTGAGTGCTAATCAAAGCCTCAAAAAGAATGAGAAAAAAAAAAGAGATTTTTTTTTCTTCCTTTAGGCTGGAAGCTGCTAAAGTACATTTAAAGGTTGAGATTAAGGAGCCAGTGGAGAGGATGATGATGAGGATACAGGAAAGATGGGGATCTGTAGAACCTCAAAAGAAACCACTTGCCACCTTTTGTCTACCCTTCCCCCCTTTTATTCTTTTTCTTTCCTCTGCTGCCCACTCTTTCCCCTTTAAATATTGAAGTCTTCAAACCCTGTTTGGAAAAAGCATGAATCACAGATGTTCCTGTGATTTGTGTCCTTTTTCCCAGGCACATCCTCAACCTTGGCAAAATAAACCTCTAAATTGATTGACACTTGCCTCATTTTCTTTGGTTTACATTTCTGTCTTTCCTCCCAGCTGTTTTCCAGCCCCGAGTCATTAGTGCATAAGAGTTGCACATCAGTACGTAAAGAGTTGAAGCCATTTTGGTATTAGTGGAGCAAATGAGCAGATGACATCCCACAGTGAGATTTGTGGTGTTAGACAAGTAGGAAGATAAATATTGAGTGTCGTCCATTGGTTTTGGAACTAGAAGTTCACTGGGCAGAGGGAAAATGCTTGCTTCTGGTAAATAGAGTAGCTCAGAGGAGTTTGAAGGTAGCTGCGTTGAGTAGATAATCATTATAGTAAATTTGAATGTGAAAGAACAGAGCTAGTTGGTAAGAGTGAAAGAAGGGATCTGACTTGATAAAGAGATTTTTTTTTTCTTCCTTTAGGCTGGAAGCTGCTAAAGTATATTTAAAGGCTGAAGTTAAGGAGCCAGTGGAGATGATGATGGTGAGGATACAGGAAAGAGGGGGATCTGTGGATGGGATAAGATCACTGGGGAGATAGTAAGAGATACTTTTACTTGTCTAGTGCTGGGTAACAAAGTACCACAAACCTAAATGATTAAGATGGAGTTGGTTTTGTTTTTCTTATAAATCTGCAAGTTTGTGCTTAACTTGGTGGAGATGGTTTGTCTCTGCTCCACTCACCATTAGCTGAGGCAGCTTGGGGGCTGAAGGCTGGAATCATCTGAATGCTCGTGTGTCTGGTGGTTCATGCTGGCTGTCAGCCAGGACATCAATGAGGGCTGAGCTGAAACACCTCCACAAGCGTCATGGTTGGATTCCAAGAGCAAGGGCCCCAAGAAGATAGGTGGAAGACTTACCACTTGTTATGAGTCAGCCTTGGAAGTCAGGTAGCTTCCCTTCCACTGTAGTCACAGGCCTGCTTAGATTCAACAGGAAGGACCATGGTCCCACAGTGTCAACTTCCCACTCTAAGGAGAAAATGCAGGATGGGTTATATTGGTGTAGTTATCTTTGGAAAATACAATCTGCCCAGATACTCTCTGCACAACTTGTTACTTGCAAGTTCAGAATGTTCACAAGCTAGCTGTCTATCTCTTTTCTGTGCTCTAATATATGAGAAGGAGCTGACGAGTACAGCACAAGCACCCATTTGTGAGGTGTAGTGCAATATGGAACACAAAAGGGGAACTGGCTGGGTGAAGCAAGGCACACCACTATATCTACCATATTATCTGGGCTCAAGTCTGCATTCTGGAAGACAGCTGGAGAGCTCTGACTAATAGGGTCTGCAGTGCAGAGTGGCTAAATGAAGTCATTGGAGCCCCTTATGAGGAATTTGCAGATAACTGGTGTCATCGATATTAGCAGTCAGAAGTAGGAGCAGAAGCTGAAAGACACAAAAGGCACTCAACTGAAACCATAAGGCAGACGTGCTTATAAGTAAGCAGAAGCCATAAACTAGAGGGAATTCTGAAGACAGGAGGGAAGGTAATTCACAGTGCAGGAGTGGAGGAAGAAGGGACAATGGAACTGAATAACAGCAATGACTGAGCATGAGAGCCAGGCAGGTGCCTGCTGCGAGAGTGACCCCAAAAGAACCCATGGCTAGAGACAACTCTTCAGGTACCTGAGTGCCAGCCAGGGTGGCAGCCAACATGGAGACCTTCTTCTCAGCTTCCCTAGGTCTTCCTACACTAGGCTCTGATCTCCTGAGATTGGTAGACTTTCTTTGACCCAAGAGAGCCTACCTGGCACAGAATCTCAAAATTAACTTTAGGGGAACTTATTAGGGTGTCTAAGGTATGTCTACCTAAAAAAAATCAATACCTGCCCATAAACTGGACTTAGCAATATTTGGCAAAAGATTATAAACTGTTTTGACAAGTTGCAGGTGGCTCGCTCTATGTGTTTGTTCAGAGCCTAATATTTGTAGAAAGACATTACAGTAAAGGATTTGTCTGGGGAATCCTATACAATCATTTCACTCTGTATTATACTCCTTGCAGATGAAAGGAGGGTATATTTTCTGAGCTGGTTAGCTGAAGGGCTCAAATCATAGCACAGGTCTGTCACTTCCATGCACTGTCTCTCCCGGGTCATATTTATACTCAGTTGAAGTCTTCTGCAGCTTTCAGCGGCTGATCACAAATTGAGTGTCTCTCTGCCCTCCCAACGGACCAATGTCTAATGTCAGAGTACAGGACACAGGGATTATTTCCATGAGTTCCTACACTAAAAGTGGTGTTGGCAACTTTTAGAAACCCACCCCTTCATCCTGGGCAAGACTTCCTATCATATGGCTAGAAAGCAACATCTATGACATTTATTCTGTGACCTATGTATTACTTTGTACATTGCCAAACATTCAGCAGGCTAGTGAGTGAGCTGTTTATTTGCAAGCTTGGGCCAATGCTTCTTATCTTTAAAAGCTGAGTACTGCCATTGCCACCATCAATTGGTACAATCTTTTTTTTTTTTTTTTTTTTTTGAGACTGAGTCTCCCTCTGTCACCTAGGCTGGAGTGCAGTGGCGTGATCTTGGCTCACTGCAACCTCCACCTCCTGAGTTCGAGCAATTCTCCTGCCTCAGCCTCCCGAATAGCTGGGACTACATACAAATGCCACCACGCCTGGCTAATTTTTTGTATTTTTAGTAGAGACAGGGTTTCACCATGTTGGCCAGGCTGGTCTCGAACTCCTGACCTCAGGTGATCTGTTCACCTCGGCCTCCCAAAATGCTGGGATTACAGGCGTGAGCCACCGTGCCTGCCCAACTGGCATGAACTTTTAACAGCTTTCTAAAACAGTCGCATGTTCTCCTCTTATTTAGCTTCTAAAAAGCATTGTGTATCACTCAGCATTCTAACTAGCAGGAAAGAATTTTATTAAAGAGTATCAGGGACCTTAAAGAACACAGGAAGGTCAAAGTCAGGTTTTATAGCTGTGCCCCCAACAGAGCCAGACATGCTACACCACAAAGCATTCCAGAGAAACACTGCAGTGATACCCCAACTGTGGGCCTGGAGAGAACCATGGTCATGCTTGCTGTAAGGCTCCAACACTCAGTCTCCATCCTTCTTAGAAACAGGTCTGCGTGGTACCTGTTTCTTCTTTCCCCATTGAAGCTTCATGTGAATGTGTCTGATTGACCTAGGACACATGCCCATGCTTAACTGTACCAATCTTTGGTAGCAATGACAGTTATTAGCTTTTAGAGGTAAGAAGCATCAGCCCAAGCTTGCAAATAAATGGACCATTCACTTGCTGGCTGAATGTTTGGCAGCCTACAAAATGATACCTGGGTCATGGAATAAATATAAATGTCATAGATGTTTCTTTCCAGTCACATGATAGGAAGTCTTGCCTATGATGAGGAGGTGGGTTTCCAAAAGTTGCCAAGGTAGGATGAGAAAGAACATTTCTGGTTCCTACTTTGGGGAGGCAAGGTGAAATAGGGGAGATTCCTCAACATAGGAAGAGTGGCCAGGAGATGCTGAGCTGTCAAAAATTATAACAAATGTAACTGTCACAAGATGACCAGAGGCAGCATTTTAATGTCTTCATATGGCTATTATTGAACTTCTAAAAATTACAGAAAATTGTTAATTGTAGACTCACAGGAGATCTAATAACAGAGCACCTTTTAGACATCACTAATCAGTGATGTTGGTTGACTTATCTTGTGAAAGAGTTCTCTGAAATAGCTGTCCAGCTCAATTGCAATACAGTTTCTCAGTTGGTTTTTTCATAACCCATTTGAAGCAGAGCTCAAAGCTCTCTACTCAGTGGGTGGCTGCATAATTGTTTTAGTTCATTCGTTAAACATAATTGTTTTCCCTCACTTCTGTCCTCCTCCTTTGATATATATATTCTGCAACTAGATCCCTAATGAATATGATTAATGCTTCCCATGGTGTGCAAGGGATGGAGGCTGTGATGTTGTTAAGTTGAAGACATGTCTCCATTTCATGTTTCAGGGACTTAGACACTCAGGGACCAAGTTAACAGAAGACTTCTCCAATTGCTTTATTTGAACAAATTTTGCCTGTCATCATGCTCAAGGGGAGCTAGACAATAGGGAGGAAGGCAGAGGGCACAGAACAGGCAGGGTATATCACGTATATTGTGTTAATCTACCAGCTCCCTGAGTCATCCACCAACCCTGAAACTAACTATAAATGTTTAAACACAGATGCTATGGTTTAAATGTGTCCCCCAAAAAGCATATGTTGGAAACTTAATTCCTAGTGCAACAGTGTTGGGGTCTAATGAGAGGTGACTACACCATCAGGGCTCTGCCCTTATGGATTAATGTCATTATTATGGGAGTGGGTTCATTATCACACATTTTAGTTTGTTTTGTGTTGCTCTAAAAGTCTACCCCAGATGGTAATTTATAAAGAAATTTATTTCTCACAGTTCTGGAGGCTGGGAAGTCCAGTAACAGGGTGCCATTATCTGGTGAGGGCCTTCCTGCACATGATGAAAGTCACCACATGGGTGAGAGAAAGGAGGAAAGGGGCCAAACTCAGCCTTTTATCAGGAACCTACTCCCACAATAACTAACCCACTCCTTCAATAATAGCATTAATCTATTCATGAGCACAGAGCCCTCATGAGCTAATAACCTCTTAAAGACCCCTCTTCTCAACACTGTTACACTGGAAATTAAGTTTCCCACATGTGAACTTTGGGAGACACATTCAAACTACAGCATTGTGGGAATGGGCTTATTATAAAAGGATGAATTTGACCCTGAAAAGGATGAGTGTGTGCCTCTTTCTCTCTCTCCCTCTCTTTGCCCTTCTGCCTTCTACCATGGTATGATGCAGCAAGAAGGCCCTCGCCAGATACCAATGCCTCAATCTTGGACTTCCCAGTTTCCAGGACTGTGAGAAATACATTTCTGTTCATTATAAATTACCAATTCTGTGGCATTCTGTTACAGCAGCACAAAATAGAGTAAGACAACAGACATCCCAAGACATATGGAAGACAGACTCTTGGAAACGACAAGTCAGAACATATTCTTGTGAAGAGTAGTTACCTGTAGTGATCCCTTGTGAATTTTAGACATCATTCTTCTAGAGATCTCAGAGTGTTTTATAGACACTATCTCATCCAACCTTGTAATGTCATCTGTAAGATAGTTATTCCAAGGCTGGAAGAACTAAAGAACATTAGATCCATGCACTCTTAGATGTCAGAGTAGGTGCCAGTGAATCATCCCCTTTTCTGGGCTCTAACCTATACTGAGAATAGATACCAACCAAATTCAGTTAAATGTGTCAGGTATTTAGGGCTAGGTGGGTCAGTACAGCTTAGACCCAAGACCGAAAGGGAACGCCTTACTTCCTGCCCCTCTGAATTGAAAAGTGGTGCCCAATGAACAGTCTACCTGGCCTAACCCATTTTGCCTATCCCAAATATATAACGATTTTTGCTCTATGCTTTTTAAAGAGGTTTTATAATTTTAGCTTTTGTGTGTAAGCCTATATTCCATTTCTAGATAATTTTTGGATGTGATATGAGGTAGAAGTGATGATTCATTTTTTCTTATATATATATCTGGTGATAGAGGTGCTTCTGAGCCAGTGACAGAGTAGAGCTGGGCTGGGCCTTACCAACGCATTTCCAGCAACAATCCTGAACTGCTTGTTTTATGAGGAAGCGGATGGTAAATGATCCAAGGAACTGAAAGAAAATCCCCAAATTTAGCAATACTGTCTGCTGGATTTCTAGTTAGTTTTATTTGAAGTTCATATATGTTACCCTCCCTTAACATTTTTTTCTTATAATATGCATTCTGTTGAACCTCCCTTAACTTAGATAGATAGATAGATAGATGAAATCAATTCACTTGTTTCAATGAATCCTGAAAAATATTATAAGACAATAAGTTAAACCACTTACAAGAGCTTTGTTAGGTACTGATCTTTTGTTCCTAACCCTGTTTCCAGAAAAAATTCCTATTTTTGTGGGCAAAAATAGACCAGACACCTTTCTCCCCACCACATGGTGCAATGGAATGCACAGAAGTCATGTTCAAATAAATCTTATAACTTAGATGTTACAGAGAACAAAACAGTCATGAAGTAGATGAACTGTTGGAAACTGAGGTGCTCTAAATCAGCCTTTGCATCTTTGACTTATACATTTTTGTATAGTTGTACATTTCTGATTATTATAATTTTGTCTATCAGATTAGTTATAAAATTTCACCCAAGGAGCAGAGATTTGTTGTTATTGTTTTATGAAGAGTCCCAAAATTCTGCTTTAAAAATAAAACAGGACTCCAAATGCATACAGCAACATTTAGTATTCACACTGGATATATACACAGCACGTACATGTGAAGTAGGTACACATGAAACCTCAACAATTACTGCAAGGTACAAAATTAAACACCGAATGGATGGAATCATTAACAGTGTTATGGGACTACAGAGCATACTGAGACTATGGTGCTCTAGGGTGGCCAGGGAAAGCTTCTGGAGGAATTAGGCCTGATGTAGTCATTTAAGTTATGAAGAAGACACCTCAGAAGGACTGGTGTGTGCAAGGGTGTAGAAAAGAAGCTGAGCATCATATGGTGGGACAGCAACTAGACTTTCCATGGGACCATGAGCAACATGGGCGAGACTGGTAGCCAGGAGTCAGGAAGCCTCCTATCCCTATGGGATAGTTCCCTGAATAAGATACAATTATAAGACACGTGATTACTTTATATACCACTAACTAGAGGTTTTGCCAATTAAACTATGACATACCATTGATTATAAGATGCACTCCGATTTCAAAGATGTTAGAATGTGTATGGGGAGGCATAAAAACATGGCTGGGTGTGGAAGCCAGCCGCCAAAATGACCACAAACATCCGTCTGTCCTTGTGTGAACACCCTTCCATAGTACCCTCCCAGATCTGTGTGACCAATAGGATATGGCAGAAATGATGATGTACCAATTCCAAGATTAAGGTCAAAAGACACTGCAGCTCCTGTTTTGTTCTCTCTCTCTCTCATCATTGGCTTTTGAGGATACCCAGGCAACCTGTAGAGAGAGGCTCATGTGGTGAGGAACTGAGGCCCTGCAGAGAATGGAGACTTGCCAATAATCACACAAATGAATTTGAAAGTGAATCGCCCAGCCTTCAGATGACTTCAGCCCCAGCTGAGAGTTTGATAGCAACCTCATGAAAGACCCTAAGAGAGAACCATCCAACTAAGCTGCCTATAAATTTCTGACCCTCAGAAACTGTGTGAAATAATAATTACTTAAATATTTCTTGTTTTGAGCTGTTAGTTTGGGGGTAATTTGTTACATAGCCATAGATAGAATTAATGAATACCACATAAAATGTGTATGTATGTACACACACACACACACACACACACACACACACACACACACACACACACTAGGTCAGTGTCAATCTGGGGCTCAGAAAGAGATAGACTCATCTGATTTAAAGCATCCTCCTGAGTTTTCTTCCCCGGTTGCCTGCAGATCACCTGCCATCATGAATGACACAGTAACTATCTGGACCAGGGAACTCATGACCAACCAACTACTTCAAAGGAAACAAATGGTCATAGATATCCTTAACACTGGGAAGGCAACAGTACCAAAGACAGAAATTCTGGAAAAATTAGTCAAAATATACAAGACCACACTGGATGTCATCTTTGTATTTGGATTCAGAACTTATTTTGGTGGTGGCAAGATAGCTGACTTTGGTGTGATTTATGATTTTTTTGGATTATGTAAAAAACCATGAACCCAAACATAGACTTGCAAGACATGGCCTGCCTCCATGAGAAGAAAAAGACCTCAAGAAAGCAGTGAGACGAATGCAAGAATAGAATGAAAAAGCTCAGGGGGTTGGCAAAGGCCAATGTTGGTGCTGGCAAAAAGCCAAAGGAGTAAAGATGCTGCAATTATGTTATCTGCAGACATTGTGTGGATTAATAAACTAAAAACTTTCAAGTGAAAGAAAGGCATCCTACTGCTGCCACTTAGACCTTGAAATGCCCCAGAATCAGGTGGAGAGATTAGAACTAGGTAACCACAGTGGGACTCAGGTGGTGGATAACACGATTGCAAATGAGGATGGTTTACAGAAGCAAGATTGGAATGTACTGAGCCAAATCAAAGAGCCTTAATAGCAGAGACAGCTGTCTGCCTTTGTCCTGAAACATTTCCTCTTCTTAAGGAGCCAAATTCAGAACAAAGCCCCACTGTATTTTATAGAAAGAATTAAGTGGAAAAACATGTACAAAGTGGGAAGCTCAAGGGTAGGTGAGGATTCAGGCATTTCTAGAACAGCAGGACTTTGGGAAGATATAAATTAGTGCTCACTCCCAGAGGACCATGCCAGCCAAGCTAAGGTATTTTGACTTTATTGTACAAGCAGAACGCAGCCACGAATGATTTGAGACAGGAGAGTTAGGTGGTAATAACAACGTTTGGAAGATTAAACTGGCCATGGCATGTAATACAAATTTGAGTGAGAGAAGCTATGAAAGCCATGGCCAGTTTCCAATATGAGGATATTATTAATAGTTTAGACCTAGATAATCCATCCTTTCTCATCCCTCTGGCCACTTGCCTAGCTCAGGGTCAAAGGTGAGCCTAACATCTCCATTCCCAAACCCCACTGCATTTAGAAAACCCTCTTCCCATAGCCATTTAGTCTCTCACAAAGGTTCTTCTATAGAAATATCCTAGGGGATGGAATCTATCTGAGCTAATACTGCGCCGCCATGCTGATGCTGCAGTCTCACCAACGTATGTTTCCCTGGGGTTCTTCGTCCTATGTCCAAGAAAATTAAGGAATGCAGACACAAGGGTCGGGGTGGAGTCAAAGTTTAATAAGCAAAAAAGAAAGCTTTCTGCAGCAGAGAGGGGAGTCCAAGTGGATTGCCGGGTTACAGCTGAATTTAAAAGCGTTTTATAAGAAACTGCTCTCTTCCCTGTAACTGTTGGAATAACTTTTCTTACCAGTAAAGCTGTCTGTGCAATTCTTCTTCTCTTATGCAGCTGTGGGTATGTCTCTAGGCAAGCACAAAGCCCCACTTCTCTTGTTTGTATAACTGTGGGTTTGTTTTAGGTAAGCCCCCTCCCTCCCTGTGCAAGTTCCCACCATGTATATGCCTGTAAAGGGGAGGAAACTTTTTCCTGGGAGCTCACTAATTGTACAAAGAACAAAGAGCTTTTGAGCTGGACCCTGTTTGCTTATCTGTTTGCAGGTGCAGCCTGAGTTTTTTTCCAGGTTATTTTATTTTTTCCTGTTGCTGTGACTTTTCAGGCAGGCCACTTCTGCAGTCTGAATTTTTCCCATATGATTTTTCCTTCCCTTCTCCCTCACTGAGAACAGGGCCAAAGGGGTGCTGGACTGGACTGTGGGAGAGGCCAAGGTGTATGCAGAGAGCTTGCAGAGGAAGGACAGACAGGGCAGCTTTCCCCAGCATGTGCAAGGAGCTTCAGAACAGCTGATGTTTAGATGGGAGCCTCGGACCTGCAAGAACAAAATAAACAAAAGCTCCCTATTGTTTATTCATTCTAATAATCTGAGAGAGACCCTAATGGTCATCAAATTCAATTCATAATTTTGAAAATAAGGCCTTGAGCCCACCTAGTGGTCTCCTGCATCCAAGGCCAGGCTGGTGGCACCTGCTGTTTACCTCTTGTTCTCCTCAAAGGAAGGAAGCTCCATGTCTACCTGTCTCTGAGGGGAGCCATCCATACACGGGGGAGTGACTTAGCATATGCTTCCTTGGAAAGAAGATGCTCACTCAGGTGTTTTTGCTTATTTTTTGGTAAGTTAGGAGAACTTCGTTCTGGTGCCTACCACTTTCACTAGACAAAAATCATGTTTACATCTGAAAGAGAAAAGGATTCCTGCTTAGTTTCCTTTTTGTGTCTGTACTTAGGGAAAAGTTAGCAGATAAACTCTACCTATTTTTTAAAAATAAGGCCAATTTAAGAGTGTCAAAAGGTTCATGTTATTTATTCAGGATTATTTGTTTTTACTCCTATACTTGTTCGACACTAGTATAGACTTACTCATCTTCACTTGGAAATTTTATAATTCTAACCCAAGGGAAATAACCCTTCTTTGATTGCTGTAATCCATTTCCTTCTTCACATGTCTTTTTATCTCTTTTTAAAGAAAGTCATACGCTTGACTTGTAACACTTCATGCTACCTGAGAAGAAAGGAAAAGTCACTTTGTGCTTGACTCACGTAAGATTCACGTAAGATGATTGAAATACCTGTTCACAAGAATAATAGCAGAGCATTATTTACGAACCTGTGCATCATATTAAACATCATTTTCTTCTCTTTATGTTTCACAAAAACAAGCTCTGCGGGGATCTCTTTTGGCAATATGGCAATCTAGTTAGCCAAATCATCCTTTCTGCTGAAAATAACTAAAAAGTTTGAAAATCAGAGCCTTCTTAAAAGCACTGATGAGCTGGCAAGAAACCAAGAAATACACAGGGCAAAATCTGAGGGGAAGTGGGAACCGAAAGAAGCAAACAGAGTCAGCTTTTAGCTGGGGGACATTTGCCAAGCTTGCTGATTCTGAGCTTCAGCTTTCATTGCCTCTGGGAGCACCAGAGGCAGGAGGCAAAGCATGGGACAGCAAAGTGGGACATCCTGGGAGACCCTCTTCCCTCAAAGATGGTACCCTGAAGAACCCCACCCTTAGTGTAGGCTTGGCCTGGAAACATATTGTAAACCAAAAGAAAATTCTTAGCCTCCCAACTGACTGAATGACCCCTCCACCCTTGGACAAGAGAATCCCAATAAAACCTGAAAAACTAGTTCAGGCTTTCATGCGCATCCGTGTGAAGAGACCACCAAACAGGCTTTGTGTGAGCAATAAAGCTGTTTATTTCACATGGGTGCAGGTGGTCTGAGTCTGAAAAGAGAGTCAGCGAAGGGAGATAGGGGTGGGGCCGCTTTATAGGGTTTGGGAAGATAATGGAAAATTACAGTCAAAGGGGGTTGTTCTCTGGTGGGCAGGGGCGGGGGTCACAAGGTGCTCAGTGGGGGAGCTTCTGAGCCAGGAGAAGGAAATTCACAGGGTTAATCACTCAGTTAAGGTGGGGCAGGAACAAATCACAATGGTGGAATATCATCAGTTAAGGCGTGGCAGGGCCTTTTCACTTCTTTTGTGATTCTTCAGTTACTTCAGGCCATCTGGGCGTATACATGCAAGTCACAGGGGATGCGATGGCTTGGCTTGGGCTCAGAGACCTGACATTCCTGCCTTCTGATATTAATAAGAAAAATAAAACAAAATAGTGTTGAAGTGTTGGGGTGGCAAAAATTTTTGGGGGGTGGTATGGAGAGAGAATGGGCGATGTTTCTCAGGGCTGCTTCAAGCGGGATTAGGGGCAGCGTGGGAACCTAGAGTGGGAGAGATTAAGCTGAAGGGAGGTCTTGTGGTAAGGGGTGATATTGTGGGGATGTTAGAAGAGACATTTCTTGTATAGAATGATTGGTGATGGCCTGGATACGGTTTTGGATGAATTGAGAAACTAAATGGAAGATACAAGGTCCGAATAAAAGAAGGAGAAAAATGGGTATTAAAGGACTAAGAATTGGGAGGCCCTAGGACATCCAATTAGAGAGTGCCTAAGGGGTTCAGCATAATTACTTGCTTGGTTGGCAAGTTTTTGGGCTCTATCCTTGAGTTTTTTTATGTTGTCATACACCAGGCCAGATTGATTTAGGTAAAAACAACACTCTTCATTTAAGAATATGCAGAGTCCTCCTTTTTCAGCAGTGAGTAAGTCAAGGCCTCGGCGGTTTTGGAGGACAACTGCAGCTAAAGAGTCAACTTGGAGTACTGATAAAGTTTGTGACATGTCTGTGATGCTAGCAGAGAAGTCATTAGAGAGGCTACGGAAGGTCGAGACAGAAGTTGAAATGCCTGCTATTCCAGTACTGAGAGCAATAGTGGAGGCAGAAAGTCCTAAACCGACCATCAAGGGAATTAGTGGAATAACTCTTCTTTGTCATGTCGGTGTCATGAGGGGAACAGGGAGCTCTTCGGTCCTATTTGCAAATTGAATTTTGGGGGAAAGGAAGACTAGTGTGCATGTGCCTGTCCAATTAGCAGGTAGACACATGTAGGTAGAGGAACCACAGAGGAAGAAGAGACCTTGTGCAAGGCAAAACTGGAGATGTAAAGTAAAAAGATGAGAAGGAGTGCTGAAAGGGGTGTCTTGTACCTAGAGTCCTAGGGATCCAGCTAGGGCGGCAGCTGTCAGAGGTTGTAATGGGGACTGATGGGGTAACTGCGTAGAGGGGGAGGTTCAATTTTCATGGTGTATGAGAAAACATTGAGTATCTATGAGCAACCTTTCACTGTTATTTTCGGGGCTGGATATAAGTAAACAAGAATAGGGCCTGGGAGGAGAGTCTGATGAGCAAGGGGAAGGTAGCCAAGGATGGAGTTCAATACAGGGTAAGTGTCTTCCTAAGCAATAATTACTGCTAACATTTTTAAGTTTATCAGTATTGATAGAGGGCTTGTCTGTAATATGGAGCTGGAAGGCTCCAATTGTTTCAGTGATGTGTGTAATTGGGCTTCGGAGATGAAGAGTAAAGGAACATCGAGAGGGTGAAAGATTACCTAGGGGAATTCCAGTGGGTCTTTGCTGAGAGATACATAAAGGAGCGGCCACAGGAATAGTAGTTTGTGTTGTGAGAGGTCCGAATATGGGGGGAGTAGAGTTAATATAAGGAGAAAGGTTTTTTAAATAAGTGCGAAGGAGGGCGGCAGCTTGCTGATGTGAAATGTCTGGGGAAGTCTTGCTGGACCTGTCTAGAGAGTAAATGAGTTCTTCAGGAGGGTAAAGATGAGGGCTGCTAAAGGAAGTTCAGAGGTGTAGGGAGACGGGAGATATTGCCCAGTCTGTCTGTAAGGCGGGGACAGCTGTGTAGGCACTGGAAGAAAGGGAAATGCAAAGCCAGCAGTTGTTCACTAAGGAGGGACTAGAAGTGGCTAGGAGAGAATGGGTAAGGTTGATAGTGTGGTGGAGATAGCTGGGGAGAGGTAGAGGGTGGCATAAGAATGGGAACGAGAATAAGAGTGAGTATAAAAGTAAAGAATAGAACTTCATCAGGGTGGAAGTATTGGAGGGTGCCTTGCCAGCAAAGATCATCTACCCACTCTAAGAGGGAGTTAAGAGTGGCAGTTTGGGGTTAGCACCAAGAGATATCAGCTGTGATGGCTTGAAGAAACAGTGTAAACCGGCGGTGTAAAGAAGAGTAGGGCATTTATAAGTAGTTGAGAATGGAGAATAGGAGTATGACCAGACAGAAGATAGTAGGGATGACTAGTTTTTTTGGGCTCGGCCTAAGTGGTTGGGGTGACTTCGTAAAGCCCTGTTGCAAAAAGTAGGGTAAGGACGAACAGACCTAATAGAATGAAGGGATGTATTAGGCTCATAAGGGTTATTACTGCTCTTCAGAAATATGAGTGAGTTTAAGGGAAGTAGGGGAGAGTACTTGCGGCTTCCAGGAGGAAGAGGAGGGATTAGGCTGGCTGTCCGATGGACACAGCTTTATTCTGGAATGGTGAACCTAGTGGGGAGGATCCTGCAGGCAGACGGCAGTCGGGGTACTATAGAAGACGAGGTAGCATCCGGTCCATCGAGGTTGTAGAGTTTGAGGGGTCAGATTCTTAACAAGAACTGATCATCCAGCTAGGATGTCTCCATATGGCTGGGGATCTGGAGTAGGCAAGAGAAGATTAGCAGCCTGGTGAATTTCCTGTCTAGCCTGCTGGAGGACTGGAAGATAGTCACCTAGAGGGCTGGTGTCTGGGATGAGGTTGGGGCCAAGCAAGAAAGTGTGTCCATATAAAAGTTCAAATGGACCGTACCCTGTAGCATCTCAAGGACAGGCTCTAATTCTGAGAAGAGCAAGAGGTAAAAGTACTGTCCAATCCTTTTTAAGTTGGAGGCTGAGCTTGGTGAGGTTTACCTTTAAAAGACCATTAGTCCATTCTACCTTTCCTGAAGATTGAGGATGGTAAGGGATATGAAGGTTCCACTGAATACCAAGAGCCTGAGAAACTGCTTGGGTGATTTGACTAGTAAAGGCTGGTCTGTCATCAGACTGTATAGAGGTGGGAAGCCTAAACTGAGGAATTATGTCTGACAGAGGGGAAGAAATGACTGTGGTGGCCTTCTCAGACCCTGTAGGAAAGGCCTCTACTTATCTAGTGAAAGTGTCTACTTAGACTAAGAGGTATTTTAGTTATCTGACTTGGGGCATGTTGAGTGAAGCTAATTTGCCAGTCCTGGGTGGGGGCAAAACCTTGAGCTTGATGTGTAGGGAAGGGAGGGGGCCTGAATAATCCTTGAGGAGTAGTAGAATAGCAGATAGAATAGCAGATGGAACACTTGAGAAGTTATTTCCTTGAGGATAGATTTCTACAATGGAAAGGAAATGAAAGGTTCAAAGAGGCGGGCTAGTGGCTTGTACTATAGCATAGCCTGCCTTTGCTGATGTGTGGTGATTAGGCCTGGTGGAACTGCCATCAATAAATCAAGCGTGATCAGGGTGAGAAACAGGGAAGAAGGAAATGTGGGGAAATAGGATGAACATCAGGTGGATCAGAGAGATGCAATCATGAGGGTCAGGTGTGGTATCAGGAATACTGTGGGAGGCTGGATTGAAGTCCAGGCCAGGAACAATGGTAATTGTGGGACTTAACAAAGAGTGAGTACAGCTGAAGGAGCTGGGGAACAGAAAGTATATGCGTCAGGTATGAGGAAGAAAATAGATTTTGGAAGTTATGAGAAATGTAGAGAGTGAGTTGAGCATTGTTTGTGATTTTTAGGGCCTCTAAAATTATTAAAGCAGCAGCAGCTGCTGCACACAGACATGAGGGCTAGGCTAAAACAGTAAGGTCAAGTTGTTTCGACAGAAAGGCTACAGGGTGCGGTCCTGGCTCTTGTGTAAGAATTCTGACGGCACTAACCATGCCTAGGAAGGAAAGGAGTTGTTGTTTTGTAAGGGATTGAGGTTTGGGAGATTAATTGGACATGATCAGCAGGGAGAGCATGTGTGTTTTTATGAGAATTATGCAGAGATAGGTAACAGATGGAGAAGAAATTTGAGCTTTGGAGGGGGATACCTGATATCCTTTGGAGAATAAATGCTGAAGAAGCAGAAGTGTGTCTTGTTGAGAAGATTCAAAGGAGGGGCTACAAAGAAGAAGGTCATCAATATATTGAATAAGGTGAGAAGCAGAGGGGTGGAAAGAAAGTAGATCATGAGAAAGAGCTTGGCTGAAGTAAATGAGGGCTGTCCCTGAAACCTTGCGGCAGCACAGCCCAGGTAAGCTGCTGGGACTGTTGGGTGTCAGGGTCAGTCCAGGTGACAGCAAAGAGAGGCTGGGATGAGGGGTGCAGGGGAATAGTGAAAAAAGCATCTTTAAGATGAAGCACAGAATAGTGAGTTGTGGAGGAAGGTATTGAGGACAAAAGAGTGTACAGGTTGGGCACCACAGGGTGGATAGGCAAAACAATTTGGTTGGTAAGGCGCAGATCCTGAACTAATCTGTAAGACTTGTCGGGTTTTTGGACAGGTAAAATGGGGGAATTGTAAGGAGAGTTTATAGGTTTTAGAAGCCTATGCTGTAGCAGGTCAGTGATAACAGGCTTTAATCCTTTTAAAGCGTGCGGTGGGATGGGATATTGGCGTTGAGTGGGGTAAGGGTGATTAGGTTTAGTGGGATGGTAATGGGCATGTGATCGGTTGCCAGGGAAGGAGTAGAGATGTCCTATACTTGTGGTTAAGGTGGGGGGATATGAGAGGAAGACGCAAAGGAGGCTTTGGGTTGGGGAGAAGGGTGGCAATGAGATGCAGCTGTAGTCCAGGAATAGTCAGGGAAGCAGATAATTTAGTAAGTGTCTCGGCCTAATAAGGGAACTGGGCAGGTGGGGATAACTAAAAAGGAGTGCTTAAAAGAGCATTGTCTAAGTTGGCACCAGAGTTGGGGAGTTTTCAGAGGTTTAGAAGCCTGGCTGTCAATACCCACAACAGTTATGGAGGCAAGGGAAACAGGCCCTTGAAAAGAAGGCAACGTGGAGTGGGTAGTCCCCGTTTCGATTAAACAGGGGATGGATTTACCCTCCACTGTGAGAGTTACCCAAAGCTTGGCGTCCGTGATGGTCCAGGGGGTTTCCAAGGCGATGAGGCAGCGTCACTCTTCAGTCGCTAAGCCGAGAAGGAGTCAGTCAGAGAGCCTTGGGCCAGAGTTCTCAGGGCTCTGGGAGTGGCTGCCAGGTGAGTTGAACAGTCTGATCTCCAGTGGGGTCCCGCACAGATGGGACATGGCTTAGGGGGAATCCTGGGCTGCAGACATTCCTTGGCCTGGGGGTCAGATTTCTGGCACTTGTAGCAAGCTCCTGGGGGAGGAGGTTCTGGAGGAACACCTGGCTGCTGTGGTTCAGGCATTTGGAAGTTCTTGTGTGCTGGAGATGTGGCTGGGGTTTGTCTCACAGTGGAGGCAAGGAATTGCAACTTTTTTCTATTATTGTACACCTTGAAGGTGAGGTTAATTAAGTCCTGTTGTGGGGTTTGAGGGCCAGATTCTAATTTTTGGAGTTTTATTTAATGTCGGGAGCAGATTGGGTAATAAAATGTATATTGAGAATAAGATGGCCTTTTGACCTTTTAGGGTCTAGGGCTGTAAAGCCTCTCAGGGTTACCACCAAACAAGCCATGAACTGGGCTGGATTTTTATATTTGATGAAAAAGAGCCTAAACGCTATCTGATTTGGGATAAAGAAAAAGGAGCATTAACTTTGACTATGCCTTTAGCTCCAGCCACCTTTTTAAGAGTAAATTGCTGGGCAGGTGGGGGAGGGCTAGTCATGGAAGGAAACTGTAAGCCGGACCAGGTGTGAGGAGGGGAGGTGATAAAAAGATTATAGGGTGAAGGAGCAGAGGCTGAGGAAGAATTGGGACCTAGCTCGGCCTGGTGAGGAGGGGAGAGGTCAGATGGGTCTGTAGAAAAGGAAGATTAGAAAGACTCAGTGATGCTTGGGGTTGGGACTGAGGGAGGGAAAGAAGGAAGATTTGGGACGAGTTGCACTGGGCACAGAGACTAGGAAGGGACTGATGTGTAAAAGAATGCCTGGATGTCAGGCACCTCAGACCATTTGCCCATTTTACGACAAGAATTATTTAGATCTTGTAGGATGGAAAAATTGAAAGTGCCATTTTCCAGCTATTTGAAACTACTGTCGAGTTTGTATTGGGGTCAAGCAGCATTGCAGAAGAAAATAAGGCATTTAGGTTTTAAGTCAGGTGAGAGTTGAAGAGGTTTTAAGTTCTTAAGAACACAGGCTAAGGGAGAAGAAGGAGGAATGGAGGGTGGAAGGTTGCCTATAGTGAAGGAGGCAAGTCTAAAGAAAAGAGAGAGTAGAGACAGAGAGGGAAGGGGTTTGGGGGTTCTTACCCTCCAGAAAAGCTGGAAAGGGGTCAGGGCACAGAGATACGAGGTCAGGCTGTGGAAATAAGGGATCAGGGCGCAGAGATATAAGAGGTTGGGGTGTGGAAATAAGGGATCAGGGCACAGAGATATAAGAGGTTGGGGCGTGGAAATAAGGGATCGGGGCACAGAGATATAAGGGGTTGGGGTATTTGCCCCTCCCCCAGAAAAGTGGGACTTGCTGCTAAGGGTGAAGGAGAAGGGGTTGGGGATTTCTTGCCCCCCAGAAAGGTGGAGAAGAGGTAGAGACATGGAGAGAAGGGGTTGGGGTACTTGCCCCTTCCCCACAAAAGTGGGACTTGCTGCTAAGGGTGAAGGACCAAGGCAGGCATCCCTGCGTGGTCTGACACCTCTGAAACCTGGGTGAATAATCAGAGAGGCATCCCTGCAATGATTAAACACCAAGGGAAGGCTGCTTTCCCTAGTCCGTGACCGGCGCCGGAGTTTTGGGTCCACGGATAAAATGTGTCTCCTTTATCTCTACCAGAAAGTGAAAGGAATTGAAATCAAGAGAAGGGAGAGATTGAAGTGTGGCAACAAGATTGAAAGGAGAAAGAGGTCGAGGGATAGTGAGGGAGGTTGGAGAAGAGAGTAAAAAGAGGCTGCTTACCAGATTTGAAATTGGTGAGATGTTTCTTGGGCTGGTTGGTCTGAGGACCTGAGGTTGTACGTGGATCTTTCTCACGGAGCAAAGAGCAGCAGGACAGGGGATTGATCTCCCAAGGGAGGTCTCCTGATCCGAGTCACGGCACCAAATCTCATGCATGTCCATGTGAAGAGAGCACCAAACAGGCTTTGTGTGAGCAATAAAGCTGTTTATTTCACCTGGGTGCAGGTGGTCTGAGTCTGAAAAGAGAGTCAGCAAAGGGAGATGGGGTGGGGCCGTTTTATAGGATTTGGGAAGGTAATGGAAAATTACAGTCAAAGGGGGTTGTTCTCTGGTGGGCAGGGGCGGGGGTCACAAGGTGCTCAGTGGGGGAGCTTCTGAGCCAGGAGAAGGAAATTCACAGGGTTAATCACTCAGTTAAGGTGGGGCAGGAACAAATCACAATGGTGGAATGTCATCAGTTAAGGCAGGGCAGGGCCTTTTCACTTCTTTTGTGATTCTTCAGTTACTTCAGGCCATCTGGGCATATATGTGCAAGTCACAGGGGATGCGATGGCTTGGCTTGGGCTCAGAGACCTGACACAGGCTATGATGGGAAGGGAGGTCAGATGCGTTATACCCTTCCCTTTGGAGTTTAGGCACAACTGACCAGAATTAGCATTAAAATAGAGATCATAAGATGGACAAAACAGACTTTTTGTGGCAATAAGATACCAAATTCTGAAATGACTCTTGTATGGCATCACATGACAACATGCCCTAAAGGAAATGAAAATATTTTGCCCCAAAGTCTATTTCTTTGATGTATTTTGAAGTGGTCCTGCAAAGCCTTCTTTTGTGGGGGAAATCTGCATTTTGTAGAGAAGCACCTTCCCTTTCTAGGTCTTTTCCTGATCAAAAAGAGATTTAACTGAGAATCTGACACCTTTTAAGATCCAAAAGGAGACATTTACAATCTATTCTCTCTGAAGCCTGCTACCTGGAAGCTTCATCTACATAACAAGAACCTTGGCCTATACCACACTCCTTATCTTAACTCAAGCATTTCTTTCTGCTGACTTCAACTCTTTAGGCAGAGCTTAGCTCTTTCAACCAATTGCCAATTAGAGAATCTTTGAATCCACCTATGACCTGTAAGTTCCCACTTTGAGATGTCCCACCTTTCTGGGCCAAACCAATGTATACCTTACATGTATTAATTTATGTCTTAGCCTATAATTTCTGTCTCTCTAAAATGTATAAAACCAAGCTGTAACCCAGCCACCTTGAGCATGTGTTCTCAGGACTTTTTGAGGCTGTGCTACAGGCCATGGTGACTCGTATTTGACTCAGAATAAACCTCTTTAAATATTGTACAGAGTTTGGCTTTCATTCCATCAACAATACCCACCTCTCCCATTACCACACTTTAGCATTGCAAGGAAAATTGCCCAGCTCCCTGGTGCAGGACAGAGCTGGGAAAACCCACCTCTGCAAAGTTGTAACCACGCACACTTGTGGTTCAGGGCAAACTCCAAAAGTGGGGCTCAGCCCAGGAAGCCACATGGGTCCTTGACTCCACGTAGGAAGGAATTCAAGAGCAAGCTGACAAAGTGAAGTGAAAGCAAGTTTATAAAGAAAGCAAAGGAATGAAAGCGTGGCTACATTATAGGCAGAGCAACCCTTATAGCCTGCTGATTGGCTATTTGTGTGGTTATTTCTTGATGACTTAATGAAGCTGTGGTGGATTATTCATGAGTTTTCCAGGGAAAGGGTGAGGATTTCCCAGAACTGAGGGTTCTTTTTCCTTTTAGAACATATAAGGTAATTTCTGGGTATTGCCTTGGCATTTGTAAACTGTCATGGCATTGGTGGGAGTGTCTTTTAGCATGCTAATATATTACAATTAATGTATCATGAGCAGTGCGGTCACTTTTGTTGCTGTCTTGGTTTTGATGTGTTTTGGCCAGCT
Organism: Homo sapiens; assembly: GCF_000001405.40. NCBI lineage: Eukaryota > Metazoa > Chordata > Mammalia > Primates > Hominidae > Homo > Homo sapiens. The sequence goes on along the minus strand of NC_000001.11, from coordinate 230,599,846 downwards.
TCTTTTTTGCACATTGTCTTATCAGCAGGGTCCTGTAAAACAAGTCCTGCTTAATTCCTGTCTCACTTGCAGCACAGATTCAAACTATCTAGTTAAAACAACAACAATAATAACAACACACTTAGGGTGAAAATTTAGCTTCAAGGGACGCTGGACTAGTGGTTTCCCAGGCATCTGACAAAAGTAAGTATAAATCCTTTAGGAAAGAATCTGCCTTAATTCCAGACATCAAAGAATTTCCTCAAATAAATTTCCAAGGAAAACAAGTAGCTCACAGAAGAATATAATAAACATTTAAGGAAACAAGGTACTATGAGGTGAATAAGCAGAAACAACAAACAATAGAAACTGACCTGCAAAGACCTTAGATACTGGAATTATCAGACACAGAATTAAAATTCTTTTAATGTTTAAAAAATAGACAAACTTTAATGTCTAAAGAGATTTGAAAGAGAATGAAATAGAATGTCTAAAAATAAATGTAATAATTGAAATAAAAATCTGCATCAATGAATTTGACACCACCCATATTAGACATGACTAAAGAGAGAATTGGTGAATAGGAGTATAGCTCTTGATTTACACAAAATACCGCATAGAAAGGGAAAGCCATGGAACATTTGAAAGCAAAGTTATGGAGCAAGAAATGTAGAATAATAAAGTTTAATATGGGTGTAACAAACCTTTCAGAAGCAAAGAAAAGAAATAATAAGACAGATATCATATTTGATAAGATAATGGCTGAACATTTTCACAAACTTTCAAAAGATAAAAATCCATATACAGTAAGTCTGAAAAGTACTTAACATAGTGGAACTGCAGAATACCAATTGCAAAGAGATCTTAGAAGGAATCAGAGAGAAAAGAGAGAGTACCTTCAAAGGAGCAGCAATACATTCAACAGGTCTCAACAGCAGCAATAGAAGTGGGATGACAGCAAAATTGTGTTTTCAAGTGTACTAAGAGAAAGTGCACATACACACACACATACACACACATCCCTCCAGCTAAAATATGTTTTAAGAACATGATATTGTGATTCATAATTAAAAAATGTATATTTTAGTCTTTTTCCCTATTTCCTGGCACAGAGCTCCTAAAGCCTTGTAATTTCCTCAGCTATAGAGGTGCTAGTAACATCTTTTGTTCTAATACTTGGTCTTTGACCCCAATTTCTGACACAGAACTCTTAATCCCTTTGAGTTTCTTGGGTGATAAAAGCATCTTTTGTTCTAGTGAGGTGACTGTCAGTGGGCTTCTGGTTGGGGGCTGGTCACCAGAAGACCAAGTTGTGATTAGAATCTTGGAATTGTCAGTCCCACCCTCGACCTCATCCTTTGGGATGGGAAGAGGACCTGGAGCTTGAGTTTGTAACCAGTCATTCCTGTGTGATGAAGTCTTCATAAAAATCCCTGAACTATAGGGATTGCAGAGCTTCCCAGTTGAGGACTACATGCATGTGTCAGCAGGGTGGCACACCCCAACTCTTTCAGACCCTGCCATGTGTACTTCATCATCTGGCTGTTCATCTGTAACCCATATAATAAACTAGTAAACATAGGTGTTTCCTAAGTTCTGTGAGCCAATTTAGCAAATAATTGACTGCAAGGAGGGGATCATGGGAACCTCCAATTTATAGCCAGTTGGTGAGGAACACGGATGGACAGATGACAACCACCTGGGCTTTTGATTGGCATCTGAAGTGGGGGTAGTCTTGTAGGACTTTTAACCTGTGGGGTCTGACACTAATTCCAGGTAGACAGTGTCAGAATTCAAATGAATTATAGGACACTCAGTTGGTATCCAGAGAATTGGAGAATTGGTTGGTATGGAAAAAAACCCCACAAAAACCCACATACCTGGTCACAGAAGTGTTGGGTATGAGTTTAGAGGAAAAGAGTTTGTTTTTCCTATATTCAAAAGGTGAAGGCTAAATAAAGACATTTTTAGACTACAAAATTTGATGCCACTTTAGAGAATTAAGGGAAATTCTAAAGGATGTTCTTTAAGGAGGAGGAAGATGATATTAGACAGGAGTTCAGAGATGCAAGGAATAAAGAAGAAATAAAGTGAAATTGTATGGGTAAATATATTTTAATGGCCCCATAAAACTATTGTTTTATAACAGCAATGTTTTTTAGGCTTTATAGAGACTACACAATTCATCCCACAATTGTGCAAGGTGCAATCTATGTAACAAATCCATATTCACACACACAAATGCAAACACATGTGTGCACACATATCCTAGTGATTCTGCCTCCCTGATTGACTCTAACTGGTATGGTGGCTAAGCTAGCCTTTTTATTTCTGCCCCTACATTGGGCTCAAGAATATTGGGGAATGCAACTGCGGGTGAGTGAGGATATGTATGGGAGTTTAACATATCAAGAGGCATGGGCAGCCTGTGTGGGGCTGGGGCACAGTTTCCATCTTGAATATGGTAGATGAAAACCTGTTAGAAAATTGCAAAGTGTGTAAGAGGCAATGTTGACTTAGGTGGGTGTATAGTGAATCAAACTGCTCATAAACAAACCCTCTCTCCCAATCCACTGGAAGCATGGATTGGAAGACTATCTCGTGGTCCCCATGACCAATAATAATAACTAACACTAAGGCAGAGGCAGAGTACTAAGCCCTTTACATCCATTATCATGACCAATCTCCTAAATGACCCTGTGAGGGTTTTCCTAATACTATCTCCATTTCACTGATTAGGACACTAAGGTTTTGTTGAGTTAGATCATTAACTCACACAAAGCAGGGGTTAATATATGCCCAGGCTGTCTGATGTCCAGGTCCATGCTGCCTGCGCAGAATGGGTGTAAGACAGTCATGGGGCTGAGCAGGTTGAGAATGGAAGCAGTAGGACTTGACTGACTCCAGTGAGCCTTTCCATAGGAGCAGGAGATGATAACCCCCCCACTTTTTTTTAAGAGACAGGAACTCAATATGTTGCCCAGGCTGATCTCGAACTCCTGGCCTCAAGCGATCCTCCCATTTCAGCCTCCTAAAGTAGCTAGGATTACAGTTGTGAGCCACTGTACCTGGCCAAGAGGTGATAAACCTTTTTACCTGTTTCTTCATGGCTTTATCTGCTGGTGCAAAGCAGGGAATAATGCCACATACCTAGTCATTGATATCTAATATTGATATAATATAATGCCTAATATTGTACCAGCACCATTTCCTCAGGCTTTGGTTCTCTCTGCCTATTTTGGGACAGGCCTATCCAGAAACAGTTGGTGAAGTTCTTAGGTTCTTTCACTTGAGCAGACCTGTGATAGGCACATCAACACCAAGTCCAGACACGGACCCAAGTTGGGTCTAATCTCTTGCAAAGACACTGACCTAATTGGCAGTGGATGGTCAGGTGCTGTTCCAAGAATGGCTTTTTCGTTGCTATCCTTAGGGGAGGCATGTGAGAACCAGGCAGAGATGTGGGCCTCTTTCTAAGATCTTACAACCAATACATATTTCTTGGTTGAATACAAGTTCAAATATGTTCTGACACCTTCAAATACTTATTTTGTTATTTCTGATTAAATTAGCCCTAAACCATTGATTCTCCGACATTATTGCCTAAAAGCCTCTTGCCTGGCACTCAAGGAATCTGGCAGAATTTTTCCTTTACAAATCGAGTCACTGGAACCAAAACCTTTGCCTGTCCTACTATCTAGTAGTCATCAACACAGAAGGTCAGCTGAGTGCAGTTGAACTATTTTACTACAAGGTAATGATGCCTTGAGTCATGTACCTTGTACAAGTAGAGAGGCTAAAGGAAAATCTTTTTATTATTATTGAACCTAGTTCGAAAGGTTTGACCTCATTAATCGTTACCCAGATCAATTGTTTTTCTGTATTTTATATCCTAGGCTTATGTTTTTAGACCCAAACTTGGGGTTCTTTGGCCTTTTTTTTTCTTTATTCTCCTATACTTCCTCTCAATTCAAATTATGGCTATGTCTTCCTTAGCTATCTGAAGAATTATTATCTTTCGTGTCTCTGTTTTCCAGACTTATGTATGAGTATTCATTTACTAATTCATTCAGTCATTCATTAACTTATTCACTCAATAGCTATTACTGAATACCTTCTATTGGCCGGACACTGGGACAGGATTAATGTAGATATAGTCTTTGCCCTCAAGAACCTCGTATGCCACTGCAGGGGACAGATCTGTAAGTCATGATAAGACAATGACAAAAGTTCTAAATGGAATGTATGTGTCGGTACTAAAAAGACAAAGAGAAAACTGTACCCAACACTTCTAAGACATGTCAGCATGTGCCTTGCTGAAACAGGTGACATTTAAGTCAAATCTCGAAAAAGGAGCAAGCTGAGGTTCATTTCATGACATGACACTGCCTCTCAAGTGAGAAGAGAATAAAAAATGTCCATCTGATTCTGAAACTGTAAAGATACTAATGACCTTAGTAAGCAATGTGGAGTGGAGCCAAGTGGAAGAGCTGAATAGCTGTGAAGGTGATGATCGTGGGAAACCATTCACAACTACTGATTGGGAATGAAAGGAGAGAGATGGGTCATAGCTACTTATGCATGAGACAGGGTTGTGGATTTCTTTATTAAGTTGGGAGGTGGGAACATTTTAGCAAAGAAGACAGTAGAAAGGAATAAAACAATATAGTAACTTCATCTCTGGGAGAATCCTCTCTCAGTTTCTACAAAATTACTTATCTACTCTTCATCCCTTCTTCTTCTTTTTTTTTTTTTTTTTTTTTTGAGACCAAATTTCGCTCTTGTCGCCCAGGCCGGAGTGCAATGGTTTGATCTCAGCTCACTGCAACCTCCACTTCCCGGGTTCAAATGATTCCCCTGCCTCAGCCTCCTGAGTAGCTGGGATCACAGGTGCCTGCCACCACACCTGGCTAATTTTGAACCTCTGACCTCAGGTGATCCACCTGCCTCAGCCTCCCAAAGTGCTGGGATTACAGGCGTGAGCCACCGTGCCCAGCCCCATTCCTTCTTTTTGATCTTGTGGTTTCTCTTACTTGGTTCTATTATTTCATTTCATTACCCTTCCTTGTCACCAGTTTGAAGATTATTATATGCTCTATGCTTTGCCACTGTCTTCTCAATATAAATCTTAAGACCTAAAAACCCAAGAATACATTACACTAAGTCAAGCTACATCCAAATCAAAATACCCTAAGATTTACATATATTTGAGAAGTAAGCTCTTTATTTATGTAAGTATTCTAGCACCCTTAAGGAAGCAAAGTGCCAATGTCCCTGAAGAATCTTTGGCAGCCTGCCAACCAACACTGGGTCAGCCTCCATCTTGAGGAAAACATGGACCAGAGGCTGCGAGAAGACCCCAAATGTGAAACAGTGTCCTAGGCTCCATCCTTGAGGGTCATATAATGTGCATCTTGCAAAGCTTGATGTTTCCTGCCAAAACAGGTTTATGGAAGACCTTTGAACCTTAAAGAATTGAAAGATAAGAGTCCACTTAGTTGCATAAAAAAATGTCAACTGAACACAGAGAATTATTATGCCTTTTGGCCATCTTGATTCCTGGGGGTCAGGGTGCCTTTAGAAATTACTTCCACTTTCTGTCAAGGGCATGGTACAACAAAAATGTAAGGATGGAATGGAGAAATTTTGATTTTTTCCTGTGATTCATAGATCAGTTACAGATCCACGTTTCAAAATGTCAGACCTGCTTTTACAAAGGCAATTTTGTTTGTAACTACATGAATAATACATAAACACAGTTACTGGAAAATATTCTAAAAATCAAGTCTATTGAATAAAATGTTACGAGTCCCCTTTGACACAGCAACCCTACTGTCTCCTCACTTTGGCATATACTTTTCTAGACCCTTTTCTAGGCATTTTTGTACATGGGTATGTGTAAATTAAATTTATTTACACATCTAATTTTAAATTTTAAAAAATATTTTGCATAAGATTATTAATCTGCAATTTGAGTTTTTTATTTAATAATATAGCTTGAAGAGCATAACAATCTCATATGTTTTTTGTATTCACTGAATAATATAATCTGAACATGTAATTGATTTATTTAGCCCACCATTAGTGGATATTTAGGTGGTTTCCAACTTTTTATTTTTATTTTCTTTGCTATCTAAAAACAGTGCTGGAATGAACATTCTTGGGCATGTACCCTTTTGAACATGTGCAAATATGTGTGTGGAATAGATTCCGTTTTTCCTGCTTTCCATCATACTCTTCTTTAAGGTGGTGCTTCCTCCCTCCTCCTACCCAGATTCCCTTGGATTCTGGCTGTGTCTGTGGCCATCCTTTGACTTCTATATGCTTTTTTCCTGATGGCCACACCTGTGGCTCTCTTGAGACTACAGTCCTGAGTCACTTTGCTCACACCAGCAGACAGCCAGAATTGCCTGGGAATTTAGGTTCCTTTGGGGTGGGCCTTAGCAGATGACAGGTGGGACGTGTTATGAAAACCCAGCTCTTTCCCTTGAGTTGGGACATACTTGGAGGTGTAATGTACATTTCAAAGCTCCTCTGCATCATCAAGCTAAAGCTAGGATTTTGCCTAAAAGTACACTCTCCCTTGACTTCTCTTCCCTTTCTGGCTGCCCCACTCATTCATTAGCACTTCCATAACTCATCACTTGCATATGAATCCTTGACTCAAGGTCTGCTTCTCATGAATCCAAGTCAGGAACCACCCTGTATTGAACAAACTTAGTACAGAGTTTCCTCCAGAGAAAGCACTGTCCTTAAAGATTGCCCCTGTCTCCCTCTTGGGAGTTGTATTTGTTCTACCCACTAGGATGGTTGATTTTATCCATCAACTTGACTGGGCCACAGGATGCCCAGATAGCCGTTTAAACATTATTTCTGGAAGAGGTTAGCATTTGAGTTGGTGAACTGAGAAAGGCAGATAGCATCATCTAATCCATTGAGGGTCTCAATAGAACAAAAAGGTAGAGGCAAGTTGAATTAATTCTGCCTGACTGCTTGAGCTGGAACATCCATTTTCTCCTGCCCTCAGCTCTCCTGGTTCTCAGGCTTTTAGAATTGGAATGGAATCTACACCACCAGGTCTCTGGCTTTCAGGCCTTCAAACCACACAACTGGCTTTCCTGGGTCTCCAGCTTGCAGACAGCAGATCATGGGACTTCTCAGTCTCCATAATTGCATGAGCCAATATGTTATAAAAAACTCTTTTTATATATCTTCTACTGGTGGTCCTTCTCTGGAGAACCCTGACTGATACACCTATAGTTTAGGATGGATTTGGATGGTTCTAAGGCTCTTTATCCCACTAAAAGCCTATTGTTGTAGAGCCCTTGGGGAGAGGGATAGGATGGTAGAAGAAAAGAGCAGACAGCAAGTCTCTGGCACCGTATCCAGGCAAGAGCCCCGCTGCTTATGTCCCTAAGCTGCCGGTCTTCTAACCTTCTACCTTTGGCTTCAATTACAGGCAGATGTAGGGTGTCTGGACAACAAATGAGTTCTGGAGATAAAAAAGGGAGAGCCACTGGTCAATAAGGCCAATGATAACAAAGCCCATTTCCTTTCCTTTCCCTGGTTTGCAGGTGGAAGGCAGTCTCTGCTCAATGTTAACTTGATCTTGAATGCAGGCCTGCCTGTCTAACCATCTGCAGTGTGACTTGGTTGCTGCTGTGAGGGAAGCTGCTCACTTTTTCTTGCTTTGCCTCGCTTCCCTGTGCGGTGCCTTTCCACATTCCCTAATAAGAAGGCAAAGGAGGTGTTTGCCTGCTGCTTTCTGCCAGCTCAGTGCTGCTGCAGTAGAGCAGGATCTTGGACCCAGATCTTCCGTCCTCCGTTGTAACCCTCTTGGTAGTACTTATCCTCACCCCTTCGTTGAAAGTAGAGCTGAAGAAACCCATTCTACACACACTTGCACATGTTCAACAGGGTATTTGCATAGGAATGTTCACTTTGGCATTGCTATGATCCTGAAGATGTGGCTGTGCTTCTAGTTTTATGGCCAGGACCGATTATGCAATAATGTTTAGCCACCCATGATGAGTGGAGATCAGGGGCAGCTTATGATGGGCAGATGGGATGAGGAAAGAAAGGAATGTATAAAATTGGCTCCAGGATAAAATCAGGGTCACACTGGGGAAGCTTGGAGAGATAACATAGCTGGCTTCCATCCCATTTCTAAGACAACTTCCTGCAAATTTCTGGAATGAATGCTGGAGAGCACAATAAAACTGAAGCTCCACTGGGATAGACTAAAAGATGGGGAGAGGATCATGGTGGGGAATTCTTCTGCACTGTCCTAAATTCTCATTTAACCTATAGATATGACCTTCCAAACTACTTATTTTAATTTATTTAATATTCACTTTTAGTAGCTAAGCTGTTTGTTTCTATAGTTACCTTCCCATTCTTTGCCCTCTACATTCTAGGATAGAACATGTCATCCACGTGAAATTTTAAACTTTAAAACCCTGGAAGCCCCGATCATGTTGGTAACCCTGAGCAAGTCACTTAGGCTCTGTCCACCCCACCTGTTACCTCCACCTATCTTCCTCCAAACTGTAACATGGAGTAACTATTATATCTTCAAAGCACAGATCTTTTGAAGGTTATGATGTTGCATCTGAAACTTATGAAGTCTACCAAACATGTCTAAAAGTCGTTAATTTCTTAGAGAGATTTGCAAGTTAAAACTAAAAAAGAATACCCATTAATACAAGACTGACTTTTAAAATTTTTATTTTATTTTTAGAAATGGGGTCTTGCTCTGTGGCCCAGTACAGAGTGCAGTGGTGCGATCATAGCTCACTGCAGCCTTAAACTCCTGGGCTCCAGTGATCCTCCCATCTCAAGGCTGACTTTTTAATCATAGAAATGTTAAGAATGCACCTAAATATCTTAGTATTTTTTCCCTAATCCACATATCTTCAGCTCACAAAAAAAGTCCTTATGGCCGGGCGTGGTGGCTGACGCCCAGCACTTTAGGAGGCTGAGGCGGGCGGATCACCTGAGGTTGGGAGTTCGAGACCAGCCTGACCAACATGGAGAAACCCTGTCTCTACTAAAAATACAAAATTAGCCGGGCATGGTGGCGCATGCCTGTAATCCCAGCTATTTGGGACACTGCGGCAGAAGAATCGCTTGAACCCAGGAGGCAGAGGTTGCAGTGAGCCAAGATTGCGCCATTGCACTCCAGCCTGGGTGACAAGAGTGAAACTCTGTCTAAAAAAAGAAGAAAAAAAAGAGTCCTCACATAAAATCATTTGAAATACCATATTCTGGCATTGCTTCCAAAGGTTTGAATGTCAAATAGATCAAAAGTGGGTTAAAATGTATTTAAAGAATGAGGTGTGTGATCTTGGGAAAGAGCTTAGGACAGGTTGGCATATATTAAGAATATGAAGACATGGAATATATTAATATATGAAGATATTCTCACATCTTTTCATCTATAGACTCAATGACATCAGCAATATTAGCCTGCTTGCATGGGTCAGATTGGAAGCACCTGTAAGTCTGTATTAAGTGTGGCTTTTAAAGCTCTTGCATATCCATGGATGAAAGGCATGCTATAAATAACATTATTACATAGGTAAATTGTATACTTTTTGCATTATTTAAATGATTCAAGTGAGTAGCTTTGTAATGGAAAGCACCGTTATGCAGAATTGTGCCTGGGGAAGGTAATTGCAGCAACATTGCTGTGGTCTGAAGGAGAATGAATGAGCACTCATCCGTGAACCTCCTTTTCCATCCTGGCACCCTCAGTGCCTTGATGTGGACAATTAAACTGTTGCTTTCCCTTCTTGCACCAGTTCTAACATTCAGGAATTGTAACAACATCCTCCCTTTATTTAAACAGATATTTGAAAACTAAATTGTCTGAATTTATGTGTTTATTAATAATTATAATCCATGAGAGTACTGAGGGAGTTCTTTTATTTAAAAAAACAAATGCTAGTAGCTGGGCACAGTGGCTAACACCTGTAGTCCCAGCTGCTTGGGAGGTTGATATGGGGGGATCCTTTTAGCCCAGGGGTTCGAGTCCAAACTGGGCAAAATAGTAAGACTCCTTCTTTCTGAAAACAAAACAAAACAAACTCCATGGTGTGATATAAATATTTGATACACCTTTTGATAACAGTTGTATTGTTATTTCCCTAAAGTCTAGTGAATCTGATTAACAGCGATTTAAAGCAAATGTGAGCAAGAAAGGGGAAACCTAGATGAACCCAATTATTACTGAAGACAGCAGTTCTGGCAAAGAAAAGGGTATCTGGTGATTCATATGAGCATGCGGTTAGGAAGGGAGCTAGGCATAAGACATGACCTTGGACATTTATACTCCATCGTGTAGAATATGCAGAGTAAATCAAGTGAATCCGACTTATAAGCTGGAGTGGGAAATCTAATTATCACAGAGATTTGGAAGATATTGCTTAAAATGGAATCCAGGGATGGAGAAGATTGTTCCACACAAAAGAACCAGACAGTTAAGTAGCAAGATTGGGTTCTATAATACGTCTGGATATCCACGAACCTGCCAGCAGAAATCTTGGTGGAGCATAGGGGTAAGGATTGAAGAAAAAAATGACAAAAACAATACCCTAGTGGACATGTGCTATAGGCCACCCGATCTGTTAGAGGAAATAGGTAATACAGTTCCAGTGCAAATATTTTGTAGCTCACCTATCTTTAGCTGAAATTACAATATCCAGAAAGCTCTAAAAGGTTTTTTCATGAATCATTTGGCAGCAACATTTGACCTGATATGAAACTGTTTAGAGTCTTTTTGGTTGGTGGTGGTGCTTGTTTCTGTAACTTTTAATTAAACAAAGTGCACACACATGGGAGAAGACATTAGGAAATACAGATCAGAGTAGAAAATGAAAATCACCTATGGTTCCACTATGCAGTTATAAAAACGATTCATGCTTTGGTGTGTCTCCTGCCAGACTTTCATAGCTTTCTACCTACCTACTTACCTGCCCACCTACTTACTTACCTACACACCTACCTACTTACCTGCACACCTACCTATCCACACACCTACCTACTTACCTACACACCTACCTACTTACCTGCCCACCTACCTACTTACCTGCACATCTACCTACTTACCTGCCCACCTACCTACTTACCTGCACACCTACTTACTTACCTACACAACTACCTACTTACCTGCACACTTACCTACTTATCCATACACCTATCTACTTACCTACACACCCACCTACTTATCCACACACCTACCTACTTACCTACACACCTGCCTACTTATCCACACACCTACCTACTTACCTGCACACCTACCTACTTAGCCACACACCTACTGAATTATCTACACACCTACCTACTTATCTACACACCTACCTACTTACCTGCACACCTACCTAGTTATCCACACACCTTACCTACTTACCTACACACCTGCCTACTTACCTGCATGTCTGCATACTTACCTACACACCTACCTACTTAGTGCCTACTTACCTACACACCTGCCTACTTACCTGCACACCTACCTACTTACCTGCCCACCTACTTACTTACCTACACACCTGCCTACTTACCTGCACACCTACCTACCTACTTACCTGCATACCTACCTGCTTACTTACATGGCTACCATCCACCTATCTATAATACCTAGACATGTAAATCTATCTATACAATATGTAGCTATTTTTACAAAGGCCAGGGTATACCATTGTATACAGCACATTGTTTAATGAACTGCTTTCTTTTTCATTAAGTAAGAGATCACAAACAGCTTTTTGTGAAATTTACTACCCATTTTTTTCATCATATAAAATGACCACATTTATGGGAATATACCTTATTTATATAACCAAACCCAATTTTATAACATTTCATATTTTTGTATTTTTCACTATCAAAAGCAATGCTATGATGAACATATCAATAACTAGATCTATGCAAATAATTATAATTATTTCCTTAGTATGAACTTCCAACTGTAAGATTGCAAGTCAAAAGATATTTTGCTAATTGTTTTATAAATTTGCCAAATAACACTCCAAAAAGTTTGTACTAATATGTAATCACCCCTCCGACATCTTATCACACTATCAATATGCTAAAATGCTCATTTTCCCGCAATCTCTCAACACTGAGTAACAACGTTAAAAATCTTTACCAACCAGTTAGGTGGAAAATGGTATTTAAAGATTTCAATTTCACTATCTTTGATTACCAGAGAAATTGAGCACTTCTTCATGAATTAATCTGACAATTGTATTTTTTAAATAAACCTTTTTATTGAGGCAAAACACGAGTAAAGAAAACAGTACAAATCGTAAGTATAACTCAGTGAGTTATCACAAGGGGAATACATGCATGTAACAGCCACAGGTCAAAAAGTAGAACATTACCAGCACCTAGGAGTCTCCTTTGCATCCCCTTCTGGCCACCCTCCTCACTTTCCTCCCCAAAGGGAAGAATTGTACCTTCATACAATTTCTCTATTAGCTAGCTATTGCCAGAAAAATGCCACATGACAAACCCTCCCGAAATTCAGTGGCTTAAAACAGCAATCACTTGTAATCATGGATGAGCAGTCACTTATTGTCACGGATGTGTGAGTTAGCAAGAGAGTCAGTGATCCAGGCTGGGCTCAGCCCATTGGCTCTGCTACCCTGGGTTCACCTGTGTGCCTGGGGGTCAGCTGATGTAGATGGGGCTTAGCTAGGCCACTATCCTGACATCTAACATAAGAGTTAAGCTTCGCTTCTGTTAGGATTTTATATAAATGAACTCATACAGTATTTTTTTACATCTAGCTAATTTCACTCAATGTTATTTTTAAAGTTTTGTCCAATGTGTGTTCAGGAGTATGTTTTGTACCAACTCACAAGAGCTGATGGTTACATTTTCAGAAATTTTGAAATTTATTTGTTAAACATAATTATTAGAAAAATTAAATTATAAAAACATAATTAAATCACAATTAAAAACACAGGTAATAAATACTCAAACTGATTACTTCCTGTTTCTCTAACTACACTGTAGTATGCCCTCTGCTTTGGGGTTGTTTCTACCTGTTGTAATTGCGTGGAATACTATATGATGATGTGCTATTGTGTGTTTCTTCCTGACCTTGTTTACAATTGTGTCACCATGATAGCTTAAAATTGGCCACAGTAGGAATCTTTACATCATAGAAATCAGAAAATGCTATAAATAAAAAGGTATGGATTTATTGTTTTTTTGATTGTCTAGACTTAAGAAAGTGGTGAAAAAATGTTAATATTGCAGATTAAACTTAAATGTGTTGTGTCTGTGGCCATTACACTGAAGTACACAAAAAAATTGAGGAATTATTTTTCCAGTATTCAAATATACTATCCAGTTCAAGATGATAGTTTGACAAATGAGAGAAGTTTTTCTCTCTTTTTGCTGAAGTCATTGAAAAGTTTTTTTGTTTTGTTTTGTTTTGTTTTTTCTTTCTTTTTTTTTTTTGTGTGAGATGGAGTCTCGCTCTTTTGCCCAGGCTGGAGTGCAGGGGCACAACCTCCACGCCTCACAGGTTCAAGCAATTCTCCTACCTCAGCCTCCCGAGTAGCTGGGATTACAGGCGCCTGCCACCATGCCTGGCTAATTTTTGTATTTTTAGTAGAGACGGGGTTTCGCCCTGTTGGCCAGGCTGGTCTTGAACTCCAGACCTCAGATGATCTGCCTGCCTCGGCCTCCCAATGTGCTAGGATTACAGGCATGAACCACCGTGCCCGGCCAACAAATGAAAGAAGTTTTGACATAAATCTTTATTGTCTTTTGTCTTAGTCTTTAACGTAAATAAAGCTATCAACTAACATTCATGACAGAACTACAGGTTCAAGAGTTTGGCAAAAATCAACAAAATCGATTGAGAATCAATTGGCAATATGGAATTTACAATAAGTATTATATATTTTATTTTTTGTAAATTGTATCTTATACATCCTTTATATTAGTAACATTTATAATAAGCATATATATATACACACACATGTGTGCACACAAACATACATGTATGTATACAACCCCCCATCCAAAGACAGTCATTAAAAATTTACGTACACCACTGGATTCATCCACACTGTATACTGTTATGTCCAACAGTAGTTATTCATTTGCATTACTATGTGGTATTCTATTGAATGATTATACTACAATGTATCTATTCCACTGTGAATGAAGTTTGAATGATTTACAGTTTTGTATTTAACAAATAATGCTCTTGAAACACTCTTCGGATGTATTTCAGTACACATATGTACTTATTTCAGCTAGATATTGTATTAGTTACCTATTGCTGCTGTAACAAATTACCACAAATTTAGTGACTGAGAACAATACAAATTTAATATAATTCTGGAGGTCAGAAGTCCAAAAATGGGTCTCATTGAGGTAAAATCAAGGTGTTGACAGGGCTGCATTCCCTCTGGAGAGTCTGGGGAGGATTTTTTCCCATGCCTTTTCCAGCTTCTAGAGGCTGTCCACATTCCTTGACTCGTGGCCCATTCCAGAAAACAATGGCATCACTCCAAACCCTGCTTCCACTGTCACATGGCCTTCTCTCACACTGACTCTCCTGCCTTCTTCTTTCCCTTATAAGGACCTTCGTGATCACATTTAGTGTCCAGGAGGATCATCCAGGATAATCTCTCCATCTCATGATCCTCGACCTAATCACGTCTGCAAAGTCCATTTTGCCATGTAAGGTGACATATTCACAAGTGCTGGGGTTAGGATGTTAAAATCATTGAGAACCATTTGTCTGCCTACCACAGATATATACTTTAAAATGGACTTGCTGGGTCATGAGCATTCATATGTTCAGCTTTAGAAAATATTGCCCAATATTTTTTCCAAGTTGTACCAACTTAGCCTCCCACAAGCAACATATGAGTATTTTGTTTACTCCACATTTTCACTTGGTAGGGTCAGTCTTCTTAATTTGAGCCATTTTGGTGGGTTTGCTGTAGGAACTCATTGTGATTTTAATTTGCATTTTTTCTGATTACTATGCACATTTTGATAGGCCTATTAACTATTTGAATGTCCTCTATTGTGAAGTTCCTATTGAGGCCTTTTATTCATTTTTATTTTAGGCTGTTTGAGCTTCTCTTTTTTGGCATATCAGAACTTTAAAATATATATATTCTGGACACAATCTTTTTATCAGTTTTATCACAAATATTTTCTCCACACTGTATATTACATTTTCCATTCTCTTTATCATCATTTTTTGATGAACAGAAGTTCTAATTTTAATGTGATATGGTTTGTCAATCTTTTTCTTTGTGGTTCATGTTTATGATGTTCTAAGAAATCTTTGCCAAATCAGTGTCTTCAAATTGCTTTCCATGTGATCCTCTAGTAGGCTTGTTGTTTTCCTTTCCACATTACATCTGTGGTCTATATGAAACTGATTTTTTTTATGTGGCGTAATTTACTTTTTTAACCATGTGGATTGCAACCAGCCTAACACCACATTGAAAGAAATCATCCCTTCCCCTAATACTTGTATTATTGCATGTCTTTACATTTAACTGAGTAAAAAAAAAAAGTGGAGTGATAATTTGAGGCATTGAATAATGTTATCTTCTCCCAGAAAGAATTAGCTTTTGTTTCTGCAGACAGTTTGGGGCAGACGGCAGCAATCATGGATTGAGCTGATTGGATGCTAGAAGGAAGGTTTATTTCCAGTTTTTCCTTCCTTCAATGGTATACCCTTTTGGGAGTCCCAACTGCAAGCCTTGGGATTTACTGGGGCCTCTCCTCCTTGGTGGGTTTTAATATTTTCTCCCTGCCCCATAGGAGTGCTGATAGTTCTACTCAGCTTCTCAGACTTTCAGCTGCATTTTCTTTCAGCTTCTCAGCCTCTTAGGTACAGCTTTAGAATCAGCAAATGACTCCAGGGGAAAAGTGGTGCCAAATGTCAGCTCACTCAAAAGACACCGTGGGCCAGGCGTGGTGGCTCATGCCTGTAATCCCAGCACTTTGGCAGGCCAAAGTGGGCAGATCACTTGAGGTCTGGAGTTCGAGACCAACCTGGCCAACATGGCAAAACCCCGTCTCTACTAAAAATACAAAAATTAGCTGGGCATGGTGGTGAACACCTGTAATACCAGCTACTCAGGAGGCTGAGGCATGAGAATCACTTGAACCCAGGAAGGGGAGGTTGCAGTGAGCCAAGATTGTGCTGCTGCACTCCAGCCTGGGTGACAGAGGGAGAGTCTGTCTCAAAAAAAAAAAAAAAAAAAAGACACTGTGGCCCACCAGTCAATGCAAAGGCTTATGGTGGTCAGGTGATCAATGGAGTCTAACTCACAGCAGGCCCACTCGGTGGCTATTTCTCTAGTTCCTGAGTACCTGGCAACAAGGGACATGCTGGTAGGAAATGTTGAGTCAAAGCCCTTGTAATGTCTTTTTCCTACCAAAATAGTAAAATAGAAACAATACTGCACTCCTGGGGGAATTGCAGAGGTTAATGCCACCAACAAAGACTTGAAAGAAATAGGAGGGCACTGTCTATCACACCCCCATTTAACTTACCTGTTTGGGCTGTGCAGAGCCAGATGGATCCTGGAGGATGACTGAACCATCTTAAACTAAATCAAATCGTGAGACTCCACTTGAAGCTGCTGTCCCCAGGCAGTGTCTTTACTGGAGCAAATCAACACAGCTTCTGGCACTGGGTATGACGCCACCGACCTGGCCCTTTCTCCATACCAGTGTTCAAGGGCTAACAGAGCAGTTTGCTTTTACCTGTCTGGTCCAATGGTATATCTTCACAGTGTTGCCTCAGAGTGACATCAACTTCCCAGTTCTCTGCTCTCATGTAGTCCACAGAGATCTTGATCATCTTGATGTTCCACAAAACATCCCACTGGGTCCATCACATTGATGACATTATGCTGATTGGCTGAAGTGATTGATCCTGATTACCTGGGTCGATTGGGCTGCTGCTATGCAATGGAGGCAAGGAGGACCGTGTCTGGAACCCAAGGGAAGTCACCGAGTCATCTCTTAGTACTCCCCTGTCCAGCAGTAGAGATTAATGGACAAGGTAGCAACAAAAGAAATTCATTTTCTTTTTAATTAATGGACAATGTAGTAACATTTCCATTAATCAATGGACAATGCAGCAAGAAAAGAAATTTTTTGTCCATTAATTAATGGACAATGTAGCAACAAAAGAAATTAAGAGATTAATGGACTATGTAGCAACAAAAGAAAAAGCAGCACAGCTGGAGACTCAGACCCTTCGGGAATGAAAGTTTGAGTCATTCTACCAGGTAGAAAATCCTGAGCTGCTGAGATTTGGGCCAGGAGGAAAAGAAAGTTATAGACTGGACTGTGGAAGAAAGAAGCCACAGATACTAACCATGAGCTCATGACCAACTACAGAAGTGAGGACTGTAGAAGCTTTGCGTATTTTCTCTTTGCTTTTTGTATGCATGTGTTTACTATGCATACAATGCATAGTATGTATGCATGACATATACTAACCATTTTTAAATATCTCCTTCCTATTTTAAATTTTTATCCAAGTTGTTGGAGGTCAACTTTACAATTTAGTCTTTAGGTAATAGAATATTCCATGGGACCATGACTAAATTTGAAGAGTAATAGAGGCAGTGATGGATACAGTAATTGGGGTTTTGCATCTTTTGGGATTTTGCTTCTTTATATCTTGGGGGAAGGTGAGAGTTCCTCCCTTGTAAGAAGGAGAGCCATAACTTGTTAGGTAGAAATACTGAGTTGTTTGGTTTTTGTATGACAGTCAAATGTGTGTAGAAGAGTGTGTATGAAACCTGGGTATTCAAAGGGGTAGTCTGTGCCAGGGGTGCATTTATGGCCTGTCAGCTCTAAATTCACCCTTCAGTACCTGCTGTGCAAAAATGAACTGAGCTTTCAAGCTTTCCTCTTTTATAGCGAACACGATGTTAAGCTTCGTCAGTAGAGGGCAGTGGAAGGGCACTTAGGGAACGTCCTTTCTAGCTGCAGTGGCTGTGCTTTGCTTTTCCTGCACCCGCCGCTCTGACCACCCGCAGTGCGCTCTGTGTGGAAACATCGCTGGTGCTCTGCCCCAGCCACACGTCCAGAGCATGAGCCTCCTAAGGCTTTGCGGTCCTAATTGGGGCCGAGGAACCACGTTGCTGTGTCCCCATCCTCCACCCCCTGCCCAGCCCCGGGACAGACACTGTGCTTCAGGGCTTTGACTGCAGTGTGGCCTCCGCTCCCTCTGCATGCCCCCCACCAGCCTTGGCTGGCTCACACTCAAGAGGCCGGATTCCTGCTTACCAAGTGAAGGCAGAGAAGCTCAGGCCCCAGTAGCCCAGAAACTCCCTTGCCATCGAGGAGTCTGCAACCGCACCTTCTCAGCAAGGATGCAACCTGGGGAAGAAGCGCCCCTCCAGGCAGCCCCTCCTTAGGGCCTTTCTCCCAACCCTCGGGTACCCGTTTTTGTTTTCTTTACATCTTTATAGTTATTCTCCTATAATAGTTTAATAATTGCTTATATTAAACTTCCCCTTTTTCTGTCTCCTGATTGGACCCACACTGATAAGCAAGATGATAATGAAAGGAAGCCCCAGAATGTCAGCTGGGCCGCTGGCCTGTCTGTCAATTCGTTCCAATTACAACAGGAAGCCAGACGGCTCCAAGGAGGGATGTCTCTGGAACAAAATGACAACCGATAGCTTCTCTCATCTCATGGAAAAGTTAACTGAAAAGCTGTAGAGGGCATGGGAAGAATTATCTACACATACATAGAATCATAAGAAAATTAAAATTTACTTCATCATGTAGAAAATTATATTGAGAAGCTACGGAGAAAATGGGAAGAACTGGCTAGAGGCACATAAATGCCTAAGAAAATGAAAGTGATTTCAGCACTTAAATTTAAGCGATGGTTAAATCCATAATTAGCAATTAATTATAAAAGAAAGGAACTATAATATATTAGATGTGTAATTAACAATATGAAGACAATTAAAGTGATTTAACCAAAATTACAATAAACCTGTGATTGAGAGGTGGGGGAATAGCAAACAACAGGTGGGGATAGGGTGGTATAAGAAGCCAAATAACCATGCAATTGCAAATGATATTGGAAGAAAAGGAGGCATTAGCAAAGAATAAGTCTGCCTGTCCAGAAAGCATATCATCGTTAATGGGTACAAAAATAGAGTTAGATAGAGTTAATAAGATCTAGTATCCTGCCAGGTGGGATGCCTCATGCCTGTAATCCCAGCACTTTGGGAGGCTGAGGCAGGTGGATCATTTGAGGTCAGGAGTTTGAGACCAATCTGGCCAACATGGTGAAACCCTGTCTCTACTAAAAATACAAAAATTAGCTAGGCAGTAGTGGCGCATCCCTGTAGTCCCAGCTACTTGGGAGGCTGAGGCAGGAGAATTGCTTGAGCCTGGGAGGCAGAGGTTGTGGTGAGCTGAGATCAGGCCACTGCACCCCAGTCTCGGTGAGAGAGCAAGACCCCATCTCAAAAAAAAAAAAAAAAAAAAAAAAAAGATTCATAGCACAACAAGGTACTACAGTCAACAATAATTTATTGTACATTTTAAAAGAACTAAAAGAGTATAATTGGAACGTTTGTAACACAAAGAAAGGATAAATTCTTGAGGTGATGGAACCCCATTTACCTTGATGTGGTTATTACACATTGTATCCTTGTATCAAAATATCTCAGGTACCATATATATAATATTAAAAATTAAAGCAAATTCAAAGAAAGAAAGCATATCACCACGCTATACCAATGGTGGATACAAGGCAAAGGCCACGCAGAAACAGAACAGAACAGCCCGGATACGTAAGAAAAACAGCAGGAAGCAAAAGGCCACTGTGAGCTAAGGCTTGTAAAAAAAAAAAGCTGACTTTCAAAGTTTGTTTTGTTTAACAACTTAGGCATTAGACGACCAATTATTCAGCTGAGAGCCACTATTCAGGAGGGCGTTTGATGTGGAGACGTCATGGACAGTTGGAAAACATGCAAACTAGCAAAGGCAACCCAGAAGAACACCACTCGCCGTTCCACTACGCGAAGTTTAACTCTGTGTTTCTGAAGCTTCCACGTGCATGCGGATGACCTGGTGTCCTGTTAAAATGCAGATTCAGAGTCAGTAAATCTGGGATGGAGCCTGAGATGCTGAATTTCTAACAGCTCCCAGGTGGTGCTGATTGCTGCTGTTGGTCTGCTATTCTTTGAGTCCAAGAGTCTGAGTGACTGTAGATCTGCCATGCAACCAATCATTACAAAAAAAAAAAAAAAGATACAATAAGTTGACTGAGACAGGACAGAATATGGGAAACACAGGTGTGTACATAACATTGTAAACCAAAACGTATCTGAGGCAGGTCTCAATTAACTTAGAAGTTTATTTTGCCAAAGTTAAAAACACGCCCAGAAATAAGGATTACAAATTTGTGGGAGCAATCTCTGTTCCATGCCATTTTCCAAAGATGGTTTTGAGGGCGTCAATATTTACAGGGGAAAAGCAGGTGGAAGAGGAAAGAGGGAGAATATGGTCACAGTACAGAACCCACAAGTTGCAAGAGAAAAGGAGCAGGTAAGGGAATAGTCAATTATGAGTTAGTCTTGTGCTCAGTGAGGTGGCACTTTGTATAAGATAAGGTGAATATATAGTAGCTATTTGTGGGGATATTTAACCTTTCATCTGTAGCTATCTGCTTAGGAACAAAAGGATAGACAGCTTCTTGCATGATTCAGCTTTTGGCTTATTTTTTTTTCCTTCTGTCAAAGTGAATTGGGGTTCCAAGATTTTATTTTTCTTTCCCAACATGGGGCTACTTGTCTCTAAGTGCTATAGGGACAATTGGCTCATATGTGCACAAATGCTAAAGAACTCTATCTTCGAAGTGGAGGAGACATGGGAGAGAGCTAAGAAACTTTGTAGAGTCTTAGAAAATTCTCACCATCAAGGAGATGCATGAGAAACCACATAGATGAGAACCACACCCCACGCCCCCCACTGCACTAGCAGTGTTATCAGTGGTGACAACCATCCCCGGTCTAAGAACCAGTGACTTAGAAAATTCTCGTTTCCATGTGGATGGCATTGATAGGTAGATCTGGAAAGTGTACCAGTAATTTGGCAATTTTTCATGACCTGCTTAAGAACAGTGTAAGGAAATATGGATTAGATGCTATTTACAATTAAGTAGAGTAGTCACTGGTTTAATAACCATACCCAAAGGATATTGATTAATTGACTGATGTCCACTTAAAGGAAGGTTTCCAGGACCCTGTGTACAGCTTTTTCATGTTCAAGTAAGGTCCATGATTGGAATGAACCTTGGGATATGAAAGATGTACATCAAGTCTCTTCTGCAAGTGGCAGAAAGACCAATTCAAACAGCCTTAAGCAAAAAGAGAATGTATCTGCTTATTAAAGTCCAGAGCTTGGGTGGGTTTCAGGCAGGTTGGCTACTCAAACTGGGCCCTGCTCTCTACAAGTAAACAGAGAGCCACAGAGTGATGGCGTGGATGTTGTAAAGAAGGATGTACAGAAACAGGGTGCAAAAGGAGGAGGGGTCAGACCCATTTGGTAAGAAACAGCCAGGAAAAACCTCATAGAAATGTCTTGACTGAGTCTTGGGACACAGGAAGACAGTCCTTAAGAAGTCAGGTGAGCCAGGCATGGTGGTTCACGCCTGTAATCTCAGCACTTTGGGTACTGAGGCGGGAAGATCGCTTGAGCCCAGGAGCTCAAGACAAGCCTGGGCCACATGGCAAGACCCTGTCTCCTCAGAAAATAAACAATAACCAG